>NC_000001.11:204245193-204396708 GCF_000001405.40 Homo sapiens | reverse complement strand
AACACGTGTAGTCATATAAACACCACCACTATCAAAATATGGATCATTTCCATCACCCAGAAAGTTCCCTTATGTTCTTTTGTATTCGGTCCCCTTCCCAACCTCCAGCTTTTGGCAGCCATTGCTTTTCTTTTCTTTGTCTTTTTTTTTTTTTTTGACAGACAGGGTCTTACTGTCACCCAGGCTGGAGTGTAGTGGTGTGATCACGGCTCACTGCAGCCTTATCTCCCTGGGTTCAGGTGATCCTCCCACCTCAGCCTCCTGAGTAGCTGGGACTACAGCTGTGTGCGACCACACCCAGCTGGTTTTTTGTTTTTTTTTTTTTGTTTTTGTTTTTGCTTTTTTTTTTTTTTTTGTATTTTTAGTAGAGATAAGGTTTTGGCATGTTGCCCAGGCTAGTCTTGAACTTCTGGGCTCAAGAGATCTGCCTGTTTTGGCCTCCCAACATGCTGGGATTGCAGGTGTGAGCCACCACGTCTGGCCTTTGATCTGCTTTCAACACTTTTAGCTCTTCTAGAATTTCAGAAAAATGGTATCGGATGTACAGCATGGACCCTTCTGTGGTGGGCTTCTTTACTGTAATGCTTTTGAGATTCATCTGTGCTGTTGAGTGTCTCTGCAGTCCATTCCTTCTGTTGAGTGTATCAGTAGTCCATTCCTTTTCATGGCTGAGTAGTATTTCATTGTATAATTATACCACTATTTGTTCATTTACTAGATAATAAACAGTTGGCTTGTTTAAGTATGAATTCAATGAGTTTTGATAAATATGTGTAGTTATATAAACATGACTACATATATAAACATATAAACATATACATATATAAGCACATATAAATTTGTGTCTATTATGAATAAAGCTTCTATGAACTGTTGAGTACAAGCGTTTGAGTGGACATATGATTTCATTGCTTTTTGATAAATCCAGGAGTGAGACTGCTGGATCATATGGTAAGTATATATCTAATTATATAAGAAACTCCCAAACAGTTTTCCAAAGTGGCTATACTACTTGGCAGCAGCGTATGAGCTCCAGTTGCTCCACATCCTTGCCAACACTTGATATTGTAAGTCTTTTTAAGTTTAGCTATTCTAGTGGCATCTTATTTTGGTGTAAATTTGCATTTCCTTGGTGTTTAATGATATGGAGCATCTTTCCACATGTTTATTTGCATTGATAAATACCTTCTTCAGTCAAGTGTCTGTTCAAATCTTTTGTCCTTTTTTTTAAGCCAAATTGTTAGTATTTATATGGATTTGTGTATGTGTGTGTGTCTTTAAAAACATATTCTAGATATAAGTCCTTTATATTTTGCAAATATTTCTCCCAGTCTGTGGCTTGCCTTTTTATTTTTTAAATTATGTAATTTGGGGAGCAGAATTTTTTTAATTTTGCAGAAGTTCAGTTTATCAATTTTTTCTTCTATGGTCCATGCTTTTCCAAAGGTCTTAGAAGTTTTTCCCTAACAAAGTCATGAATATTTTTGTTTATGTTTACTTCTAGAAGTTTTGTAGTTTTAGCTCTGACATTTAAGTCTTGTCATTCACTCTGAGTTAACCTTTGTATGTGTTATGAGGGCAAGGGTTAAGCTTCATATTTTTGCACATGGATATTCAATTGTTGAAAAGACTATCCTTTCTCCATTGAGTAATTTTGACATATTTTTCAAATTTCAGTTGACCATGTAGATGGATCTATTTCTGGACCCTGTATTCTGTTTCATTGATCTGTATCTCTGTGCTTACATAAATACCACACTGCCTTGATTACTGTAACTTTATAGTGAGTCTTGAAATTACTTTGTTCTTTTTCAAAATGGTTTTTGTTACTCCAGGCCCTTTGCTTTTTTTTTTTTTGAAAAACAAATCTTTATTGTCTAGAAATACATATTTAAAAAATCCTCTTCAAAAGATGCTATTCACTCATTTCCCCATTTCCTCTTCTTCCACATCTCTGATATAAAGGACATTATTACACCTTATTAAAACTTCACCTAGATGTCCAGGCAATGCCTCATTTATGAATTCTGTATCTGCAAGCTGCATGTTCATATAGCCATCTACAGATACCAGGTAGCCCTTATACTCCATTCCCACTTAAGCTTCACCATCACTGGCTCTCCTGTTAATCCACTGAGGAAATATTTGAGATTGAGGGGTAAACTCATTGTAACTAAAGGGAATGTTGCGGGCTATTTGCCACCGACCTAGCTGCTACTCTCCTGTCCCTCCTAACTCAGCAGATACTGCAGGTCCAGAACCACTGAGCTTTAAGAGAAATGGCTGCCAAATAGGAGTGTCACCCTTTGCATTTCTATTTGAATTTCAGGACTAGCTTATTAATTCTTACCAAAAAAAATGCGGGGCAGGTGGGGGGTGCTGGTTGGGCATTGAATGGAATTACACTGACTGTATGGATTGATTTAGGAAGAGTTGACATCTTAACAATATTGAGTCCTTTGATCCATAAACACACTATATTTCTCCATTTATTTGAGTCTTTTTAAGTTTCTCTCAAGTGTTTTGTAGTATTCAATATATTGATCTTGTACATATTTTGTTACATTATCCCTAAATATTTCCTTTTTGAGATACTATTATAAATTGTACTTTTTTCATTTCAATTTCCACTTCTTTGCTAGTAATATAGAAATACAATTTATTTTTCTATATTAACTCTGTGTCTTGTGACCTTTGAATATTTTACATAGATGATCATGTCTTAGAATAAAAATGACTTCGCTTCCTTCTTTCTCATCTGTATGCCTTTTATTTATGTTTTTCTTGCTTTATTGTACCAGCTAGTATAACAAGTACAAAGGCAAGTAGAAGTGGTCAGAGGAGGAATCCTTGCCTTGTCTTTAGGATCAGTGATGTCTTCTTTTTCATTCCTGATCTTGGTAATTTATGTCGTCTTCTCTCTCTCTCTTTTTTTGCTTATCAGTCTGGCTAGAGGTTTATTAATTTTATTGATCTTTTTAAAGAACCAGCTTTTGGTTTCATTGATTGTTTTCCAATTGTTTTTTGTTTTGCTTTGTTTTGTCCATTGATTTCTGATCTGTAGTGCATTTTCTTTCTTCTCCTTTTTTGGGGTTCAATTTGTTCTTTTTCTAATTCTTAAGGTGGCACTTAGACCACTGATTCAAGACCTTTCTTTTCTTCTAATATAAATATCTAATGCTAAAAGGTTCCCTATAGGCATCATTAGCTGCTTCTCACATATGTTTATATGTTGTGTTTTCATTTTCATTCAGTTCAAGCTATTTTCTAATTTCCTGTGTGATTTCTTCGACCTATGGTTATTGGAATTGTGTCATTTTGGCCAGGCACAGTTGCTCACACCTGTAATCCCAGCACTTTGGGAGGCCGAGGCGGGAGGATCACTTGAGCCCAGGAGCTCGAGACCAGCCTGGGCAAAATAGGGAGACCCTGTCTCTGCAGAAAAGCAAACAAACAAAACAACAACAACAACAATAACAACAAAAAACGTGGACATGGTGGCACACATTTGTGGTCCTAGCTATTCAGGAGACTGAGATAGAAGGATTTCTTGAGCCTGGGAGGTTGAGGGTGTAGGGAGCTGTGATCGTGCTACTGCACTCCAGCCTAGGTTACAAAGTGAGACCCTGTCTCCAAAAAAAGAAAAATTAAAAGTATGTCACTTAATTTTTAAGTTTAAACATTTGAGATATCCCAAATATCTTGTTGACTTCTAACTTAATTTTATGGTGCCTAGATAAAATTACTTTCTTTTATTCTAATCCTTTAAAATGCATTGAGATTTGTTTTAAGACCTAGCGTATGTCTGTCCTGTAGAGTGTTCCATATATGTTTGACCAAAAAAATGTGTATTCGGCCTTTGCTAGTGACATGTTCTCTATATGTTGGTTAGGTCAAGTTGATTGATAATGTTGTTCAAGCCCTCTATATACTTACTGATTTTCTAATTGTTTTATAAATTGATACTCCAAGAGAGGAGTATCAAAACACCAACTATAATCGTTCAACTGAATTGTTTATTTCTACATTCTCTACTGTCAGTTTTTACTTTCTGTGTTTTAGGGCTCTTTGCTAGGTGCATTTAGATTTATTTTTGTTTATCTTCCTGATTTTGCCCCCATGGGGACATTTGGAAAAGTCTGGAGACATTTTTGGTTGTCGCAAATGGGGAAATGCTGCCGGCACCTAGTAGCTAGAAGCCAGAGATACTGCTTAACATTCTGCAATGCCTGGACAGTCTCTGAAACAAAGAGTTATTCAGCTCACAATGTAGGGACTGAGGTCAAGAAACCAAATTTCTTTTAATACTTAATACCTAAATCTCTAGCAATTTTTAAAGAGTAAATGCTTCTCAGTTTTTGGTCTACCTTTGGTTCATTTTCAGATGCCTGAAATGTTTATTTTTGTCAGTTTTTTCCAGTTTTATATTTACTTTTGAAGAGGAGGATTTGCAGATCTCTTCATAACACCACAAAATGGAAGTCTGTCCATCCTTTAACATTTAACCTGTTGATGTCTTTATATTTAAAGTAAGTTTTTTGTAGATAGCATTCAGTTGGATTTTTTTTTTAAATGCAATCTGACAATGTCTGCCTTCTAATTGGGAATATTTAGACCATTCACATTTAATGTAATTATTGATAGAGTTAAGATTAAATCTATCTTGTTTTTTTGTTTTCTGTATTTTTCTTTTCTTATCCTTTTTTGTGGATTATTTTTTGTGACTCCATTTTATCTTCACTATTGGCTTATTAGCTACACCTCTTTATTTGATTTTAGCAACTGTTGTTTAAATATATGGCTTTAACTCATCATAGTCACAGTATACCTTTAAATAATATACCACTTCATGTATATTACCTCACTTGTGTGTGTGTGTGTGTGTGTGTGTGTGTGTGCACCTAACAACAGTATGCTTCCATTTCCTTCCTCCTGTCCCTTGTGCTGCTGTTGTGGTACCTTTTTTCTTATACAAAAGTTATAAACCTACAATATGTTGCTATTGTTTTTGCTTTAAAGAGTTCATCATCTTTTAAAGAGATTGAGAATTAGAAAACATCTTTATTTACCACTTGTTTACCATTTCTGCTGCTTTGTGTAGATCCAGTTTTCTATTAGATATTATTTTCCATCTGCCTGAAGAGCTTCTTGAACATTTCTTGTCATGTAACCTTGCTGCTGATGATTTATCTCAGATTTTGTCTGAAAAAGTCTTTACTTCTTCCCTCACTTTAGAAAAATATTTTTATTAGCTTTAGAATTCTAGGTTGATGGTTTTTCTTTCAGTACTTTAAGAACTGGGTGAGATAATGGAGTGACTTTTTTTAAGACAGGGTCTCCCTCTGTCACCCAGGCTGGAGGGCATTAGCACCATCATGGCTTACTACAACCTTGAACTCCTGGGCTCAAGCCGTCCTCCTGCCTCGTGTCCCTCCCAAAGTGCTAGGATTATAGGTGTGAGCCAGAGCACCTGGCCAAGTGACTTCTTTAAACTCTTCAAGTCCCTGATTTTGTGCTAGGCTCCTTAAAGTTAAGATGTTAGATGTAACACCTGTCTTCTCAAGTTAACTGTTTTGTTACCTTTTCTCAGTAACAAAGTCTGATATTGCTCTTGGGCTCACACCCATGTTTCCTGTCATTTTTTTTCCCTTGTCGGGTTACATATTGGCCTGTCAACTGCCTTTGACTCTGAGCCTAATATTACTTCCTCATGCTCCTGTGTTTCTCTATGCTCCTTACCAGCACACACATTCTCTTTTACGGTCTCCACCTGAGAGTAAGTTTGAGAGATTAGACCTCTCTGCTTCTTTCCTAGTGCTCTTTCCAGTGCTGTAAAGAGAACCTGGGCATTGGTCCAGACAGATTTGAGGTTGAATTCCAGCTTTCCATTTCCACCAGCTGTGTGCCCATAAGTAAATTATTTGAGTCTTAAGAGGCCATCTGTAAAATTTGAATAATAATATCTCTCAAAGTAGTTGGGAGGATTAAAGTAGGTAATATATGACAAGTTCTTACACCATATTTGTCTCATAATATCAAATACTCACATAGTATATATTATGATATATATCCCGATTTACAGATGAGGGACCTGAAGCATAGTAACCCACCCGAGTTACGTAACTAGGGAATGGCAGAGAACTAGGAGTGAAACCCAGTCTGGCTCCAGATCCCATGCCTCTAACTACAATGCTTCACTCCTTTTCTAGGTAAATGTTAATTCCTTCTTTTTGGATTAGATAGGGTTGGACTCTAACAAATGAGTACTCTTGACTGGGTGGATGTTGAGGGAATGGGGCAGTTAAAGGGTAGCAAGGCAAAGGATATTTCAAGTAGGAAAAATAGCTTTGGAGAAAAGGTAGAAATGGAAGGATATGGGAAACATGCTGGGGAAATGGCTAATAGGCTGATAAGTTTGGGTGGAGGTCCTGGGGGATAGAGAAGAATAGTGGGGGATAAAGTTCGTTATGTAGGGTCTAAATGATAGAGTACTTTGAATGCCATGCTAACAAAGTTGGTCTGTTTTATTCTACATAAAGTGACAAACCATTATGGGAGTGACATGGTCAGATGGGTTCTTTTGGAATAGCTCTTGGATCATTTGTGGATGGATTGAACTGAGGAGCAATTATAATAGATCAAGTAGGATGCTCTTGTTCAAATATAGGCCTGAGGTAATGAGCTCAACCAAAGGGATGGTTAGAGTGGAAAGGGGGAGCCATGGAGGTGTAATAGTTGGCAGGATTCAGTGGCTTGTTAGATGAAGGAGAAGGAGAAATCACAAAGGAGTCAGCTTTACTAGGCTTGGTGACAAGGAGGAAGGTGATGTTTTCATTGAGATAGGAAATTCTGAAAGGGGAGCAGCTTGGTGGAGGGAGATGTAAGAGTTCTGTTTCACATGAATAATTGGCCATTTGTAACACCTTATTCCCCTTTCTCATTTGTGGGAAGCAGTGAGATAGACCACCTAAGGGAAATTTTGTAGGACAGTCCTAAGGGAGGAGGAAAAGAAGAGAAGGGCTTAGGTAAAGACAGGTGGGATTCACAGACCAGAGGCATGTTCAAAGCAATTTCAGAGATGAAAATGGCATGGAGTTTTTGGGAGGTCCTGTGAGTAGACTGGATCGAAAGTTTGCTCCCACAAAACCCCTCAACCTCTCTTATCTATCCTTTTTCCCCAAGTCCTAGGTTGGCCAAGAAGCAGCCAATCCTGGCCGGGCGTGGTGGCTCACGCCTGTAATCCCAGCATTTTGGGAGGCCGAGGCGGGCGAATCAGGAGATCAGGAGTTCAAGACCAGCCTGACCAATATGGTGAAACTCCATCTCTGCTAAAAATACAAAAACTAGCTGGGTGTGGTGGTGTGTGCCTGTAATCCCAGCTACTCAGGAGGCCGAGGCAGGAGAATCGCTTGAACCTGGGAGGCAGGGGTTGCAGTGAGCCGAAATTGCACCACTGCACTCCAGCTCCAGCCTGGGCAACAGCCAGATTCTGTCTCAAAAAAAAAAAAAAAAAAAAAAAAAAAAAAGAAGCAGCCAATCCTTCAAGGAATGACAGAGGCTAAAGCCAGGTGCATATGGAGCTGAAGATTAAAGGGCCCTTCCTGGATCTTTTGGACTCCTCGGACCTCCTTATAACTGTAGAGGTTGTGGGGAGAGGCCCAATAATGACTGAGATTGAATCTGCTGCCACCTCAGTGGAAAGAGGACCCGGAGCAGATCACATTTTCTTTAGTTTTAATTTAATTTAATTATTTTTTTAGAGACGAGGTCTCAGTCTCACTCTGTCACCCCGGCCGGAGTGCAGTGGCATGATCATAACACTGCAGCCTCCAAATCCTGGGCTCAAGTGATCTTCCAGCCTCAACCTCCCAAGTAGCTGGGACTACAGTTGTGCACCACCATGCCCAGCTAATTTTAAAAATTCTTTTGTAAAAATGAGGTTCTACTTTGTTGCCCAGGCTGGTCTCAAACTCCTGGCTTCAAGTGATCCAACCCCCTTGGCCTCCAAAAATGCTGGAATTACAGGTGTTAGCCCCTATAGCCAGCAACATTTTATTTAAGAAAATAAAAGACTATGCCACTTCTTACTCCCCATCATATTCAAACTGTTACGCATATTTTGTTTAAAAGGTTGATTTATGCATTTGTTTCCCAGTAGACCATAAAGTCCAAAAGAACTGTATCTTAGGTTATAAAGGTGGGCCCAGTGCCTAGCATACAGCTTGGTTTTCTCATGAATTTGTTCATTCAATGTCTTTTACGAGTACAGTGAGAGGTCCTGTACTATGTGGTGAATATCCATTTACTCATCAAATATTTATTGAGCACTTACTGTGTGCCAGGGTCTGGGCCAAGTGCTGGGAACACAGATTTGAATAAGACTGGCTAGGTCTCTGCTCTCAAGGAGCTTACACCTTAAGTGGTGGAGTCAGAAAACAAAAATAAGATAACAAGAAGCCTTCAGGTAGTGATATATGCTGTAAAGACAATAGAAGAGAGTGATGTGATAGGGAGAGACTTGCAGGGTATCTTTGGATACAGTAGTTGGGGAAGGTATCACTGAGGAGGTGACCTTGATCTCAGGCCTGAGTGGTAGGGAGGAGTGGGTCATGAGGTGATCACGGGGGAGGCTGGGATGAAAGATGGCTTCGGTAAGCGGTAATAAATAAGGGGGAGAGAAATATGAGATGACGGTGGCTGGGCCAACAGGGGCCAGATCATGGGGAGACTACAGGAAAAAATTTGGATTTATTCTCTGTGTAATTGGAGGGCTTTAGCTGGTGAGATTGTGGGGTGCTACAATCATATTTTCTCTTTGCTATTGATCCTCTGGCTATTGTGTAAAAAATAAAAAATGTAGCAGGCCAAGCAAAGAGGAAGGGAGGCCAGATGAAGAGGCTGTTTGGATGGTCTACGTAGGACATGATGGAGGCTTGGACCAGGGGGCAGTGGAAGTGGAAAGGGGGAAGATTTGGGGTATATCTGGAAGGAGGTCAAATTGACTGGATGTGGAATGTGAGGAAAGAAATCTAGGGTGGCTCCTAAGTAGAATGACAAACCAACCCAGATTGCCTGAGACTGAGGGGTTTCCTGGGACATGGGATTTTCAGGGCTAAAACCAGGACAAGTCCCAGACAAACCAGGATAATTGGTCACATTACTTTTAGGTTTTTGGGCCAAACAATGGGGTGAGTAGCTGGTGCCATATACAGAGATAGAGACGACTCAGGGAGAACAGATTTCTAGAACAGAATTCTATTTTGGCCATGTTAAGTTTGAGATGCTGATTAAACATTCACACAGAGATGCAGTAGGCAAATGTATATACATATCTGAAGCCCAAGGAGGAGATTAGATTCAGATAGAAATCTGGGGGCCAGCAATATATAGATGGCATTGAAAACAATGGGGGAGATTACCTAGGGAGAGTATGTAAATAAAGTACAGAAAAGGGCCCAGGGTGGAGTTTGGATATGAAAATGTTGAGGCTAAACAGAGGAGGAGCAGTCATCCAAGGTATTAAAAAGGAACAGTCAGTGAAGTAGGAGGTAACCCAGGAGAACATGGTGTCATGGAAGCCTAGAGAAAAACGAGCTCCATGAAGGACAGAGTGGTCAACTATGTCTAATGCTGCTGAATAAAATGGAGAAAGAAAAGTAGATTAAAACACAGTCCCTGCTCCCAAGGAGTTTCAGTGTAGTGGGGTGATGGGAAAGTCAATTCCTATACAGCGATGAGTGCTCTAGCAGTGAGAAGCACAGGCTGCCCGGCAAGTACAGTGGGCTCCTTCCTGGGCTGCATTTGGAAGGAGAATTGGAAAACAGGATGTGGATGGAGAAGAGTTATTCAGGTCGAGGAAGCCACAGGCACAAAGGCACACTCAAGGAACTGTAGGGTTTCAGGATGGTCGGGGCACAGAGTAGTGAAACAAAAGGAGGCATGAAGTGCAGGGAGTGGGGACAGCCAGGGCTATCACATGAGACAGAGAGGTCACCTAGGATGGGAACTGAAAAGTGTTGGATTTAGCAGCTTGGACATAAGTGTCTATCTTTGCCAGAATAGTTTCTGCCATTTCAAGGAGTTATGGGGGACATAAGCCAGATTAGGAGTAACTGGGAAGCAGGGAGTAAGACACCCTGAGTGCACAGATCACTCATTTAAGAAACTTGAAGTGGAAGGAAGGAGTGTGGTAATGTGGCATCTGGGAGTGGGGTTGGGTTTTGTGAGTTGTTTTTTTTTTTTTCCTCTATGGTAGAAATCTTGAGCTTAGTTATAGGCTTGAGGGAAAGAACTAGAAGTGAGGGAGAGCTTGAAAATATAGAGGAGAGGAGATAATTGATGGAGTAAGAATTCTGAGAAGCTGGTGAGGGATGGGCATGTGTAGGGTTGGGAACATGTAAAGCTTAGCTTTGGATAGGAGGAAAGAGACAGATGGGTAGAAATATAGATAAGATTGTTAACAGTGGGCTTAGGAAGACTGAAGGGAAGGTGTTCTTTTCTGATTGCCTTTATTTTCTCTCAGAATAATGATGAGGTCTGCTGCTGAGAGCAGCTGTAGACCCAGCAAGAGGTATATGGAAGGCTAGAGAGTGAATTTACAGGGGTATCAACTTAATTCCTCCAGTGGCTGGATGTGATATTTTTCTGGGCAGGAGCAGAAAAGTGGACGGATTAATTCAGAGTGGCGTCTTGCAGTGTGGATGCAGCTGAGGACAAGTGGACAAGGATATTAGCAAGGATGAAGTGACAGGCTATGAGTTTGGACTGAAAAATGCAGGAAGTGGAATGAGGATTTGGTTGATAGATTAGGAGGAAATGTACTGAAGGAAGAAGGCAAGGAGCAGGTATAAAGAGAAGAAAGGAATCAGGGTATGAGAAGCACCAAAACTGTTTTCAGGAAGCAGGACATTAGAGTTTAAGTTTTCCAGGTTGGAGCAAATCTGAGTGGTGAGAAAGTCCAAGGTGAGGCCTTGGGTATGAGTAGGTTATTGGAGTGGAGGTGAATAGCCCTGGAGTTGAGGGTATCAAGGTATTGTAGGGTTAGGACACTGGATAGATAGTTCATTCACATTAGTGCTGAAATCACCCAGAATGAGAGGGAGATAGGGAAGAGAGAAGAAGCTGCTGAACCGGGAGCCAAGGTCCTTGATGAGTGGAGAGGACTGACCAGCAGGTTGGTGGGTGACAGAGACAAGAGAGGAAGAAGCTGATTGGCTGAAGGCAGAAACAGTTTTTACAGAGATGAAGGCATAATTGTGCCTTATAATTTTATTGAACTAAATTGAACCAAAGTGCTATGTTAGTCCCAGGAAATGCCAAAGTCTGCACCAGCTGCCATTTTCTAGAAAAACCCCAGGACACACATTAAAGTCAGCACTGAAAGAGCATTGCCTACCTAGAAAGAGCTCTCAAGTCAAGAAGAGACCCAGAGAAGAAATGTCAGCAGGTGGACTACAGACGGGGCCATTCCTCTGGGCTCCACCAGGCCCATATCTTGCCCTGACAATTTCAGTCCTCCCCTCTCCCTCTGGGGAACTGTCAGTGCCAGCTCTCTGCTCCATGACACATCCTGGCAGGAAAAGTCAGCCAGCCATCTTGGGCTGGCATCATTCCCAGGAGAAGCCAGAGCAGAGGCTTTGAGAGATGGAGCTGAAGGAAGCACATTTCAGCACACTTTTCTACGGAAGAGCAAGGGCTCATTAGCTAAAACGATCATCTTCCCAGGCCTGTTCTCAGACCAACTTAAAAATCACCTGGGCTGTCTCTCCACCCTTTCACCCAGGAGTACAAGTTGCTTCCTGCTCAGACAGAACCCACCCTAACCTCAGCCCTTCTGGAGCACAGGCACCACTCACACATTGCTTCTGCTTGTGAGTGATGTGAATACACACAAGGCACACTTCCAGGACGCCGCCGCCGCTTGTCCTCCTGTTTCATGGGCACTTGTTCTCCAGTCTCCTTTGCAGGTTCTTTCTTATTAACTTGACCTCTGACATTTGGAATGCCCCAGTTCTCAGCCCTTTATCTCTGTCTCCTCTCTCCCTACATTCATTTCCTTTGTGATCACAACCAGCCTCAGGGCTGTAATACGTTCTAATCACTGAAAAATACTAATGCATATCTCTACTCCTCAGTCTTCTATTAGGTTGGTGCAAATGTAATTGCGGTTTTTGCTATTGTTTTTAATGGCAAAAACCAAAATGACATTTGCACCAATCTAATAGTCTTATACATCCACTCACCTTGTTGGCATCTCTGCTTGGCTATCTCATAGGCATCTCCAACTTAACATGCTCAAAATTGAACTTTTGATTCCCCCAACTCCCTGCCACACCTGCTTTACCTGCAGCCTACCCTCATCTTAGTCTATCCTTCCAGCCACCCAGGCCAAATCCCTTGGAGTCATCCTGACTCCCCTTCCTCTAAGCCCAAATACAGTCTATCAGCAAATCCTGTCAGTTCTATCTCCAAAAGTTACCCAGAATCTTACTCTTTCTCACTGCTTCTCCCCTCTGACATCCTGAACCAAGCCATCTTCATGTCTTGCTTGGATTATTACAATAGCCTCCTAACTAGAATCTGCTTTGACCCTATTTCAAACAACAGCCAGAGCGATCCTCTAAATACATGAAGCCCTGAAGATCATGTCACTTCTGCACTCAAAACCAACCAACAATTTTCTGTCTCATTTTAGAATAAAAGCAAAACTCCTTACACTGGCTTGGAATGACCTGGCCTCCCTCTACCCTCCATCCTCATCTCCTCCTGTTCTCTTCTTCATTCACCTTGCTCCAGCCTTACTGGCCTCCTTGTCGCTTCTCACTTCAAGGGTGCTCCCACCCACAAGGTCTTTGTACTTACTATTTCCTCTGCCTAGAACATGCTTCCCCTGGTGTCCACACGATTTGCTGTCTCCTGTCCTTCAAGCCTTTGTGCAAATGTCATTCTTCTCACTGAGGCCCTTCCTCACTACCCTATGTAAAATATTCACAATATAAGACAGGAGCGCCCTCTGTGCTCCTTCTGTTCCCTTTACTCTCTCCATTTCTTTCTAGACTTATCTTCTGAGACCACATGCTTATTAAATGTGAACTCCTTGAGAGGAGGGACATTCTGTCCTTGCCCACAGAGGGTATCAATAAATATCTGTGGAACCAATGCAATTCAATATACCTGGTTTTGGGGAAACCTCAGAATTCTGCCATCCTCTGGATGCCAGCACTAGAATGGCAGTTTTTATAATGAAACCCTTCTCTTTCAAGTCCTTACAGAGGTATGACTTTAATTAAGCAACTAGTCTGTCTGGACCCTTGCATATTTACACAGCCATATCTCGAATGCCAGCAGAGATAGCTGTTGCCTTCCTTTCCTTTGCTTCCTAGTTCTTGGAAGAAAATCAACAGTGGCTAGTGACCTTGCCTGCAGGTGAGCATAACTATTAAACACCAGCCCTCAACGCAGATTGCTGTTGTGGCTATTCTTTTATAGAGCAAAGGAATCTGTTATAATCTTCTTGTAACTATGTGAGTCTCTTGGCCAAATATGTTTAAATGATGTAGCAAATGTCTCAATGTGAACTTTCTACTGGTCAGGTTTTCAGGAGATTTGAGTTTTGGTCTTAACTCTACTGTGGAATTGCCACAACTCTGGGTACTTTCCTGAATTCTCTAGTATCTTCGTTGGGAAAAATGTGTTTTTTTGGGGTAGATGATCACTAAGACCCTTTCTTGATCTAAAATTGTGGTTTTCTCAGAACAGAAGAGCTCCTATTTGTGAGTCACTAGAAACACACATGATTATCTCTTTGGCTTTCCCATTACACACAAAAAGCCTTTTTTTGTGTGTGACTTTTATATCGGTCAGGACTTTTTCATTTGTTAGGGGCAGAAACCCAGCTCAAACCAACTAGAAAGGAAGTAAGGGGTCTATTGGCACATATAGCTGGAAATATAGGGGTAGAGCCTCTCTGGCAAGCTGGATCCCAGGGCTCCCAGGATATATGGAGGACCCATTCTCTCGCCGTCTTCTGGCTTCACTTCCTCCTGTGTTGGTTTCACTTTCAGGCAGCCCCCGCATGACGACCCCAGCAACGGCAACACAACTCATGCCACCTTCAAATGCAAGAGGAAAAGGGCTTCTTCCCGAGAATTTTGGCATCTTTAAAAAACAGAGTCTTATTGGTCTTGTCTGAGTCTTGTGTCCTTTCCTGCACCAGGGGAATGGAGAGTTGTCAGATCTCTGGGCAGATCTGTGTCACAGCCCAACCCTCAATGGAGCTTGAGAGTAAAGGTGGGGCCAGCCCACACAGGCTGAGAGTGGCAGAGGGTAGATAGATGTCAAAAGGAAACCTGCAGCTATTAACAGAAGAAGGGAGAGTAGATGCTGGAGAGGTAAAAATAATGGACATTTATTTCAGTCCTCATTGAGGGTTTTTTTTTTTTTTTTTGAGACAGAGTCTCACTTTGTCACCCAGGCTGGAGTGCAGTGGCGCAATCTCGGCTCACTGCAACCTCCACTTCCTGGATTCAAGCTATTCTCGTGCCTCAGCCTCCCGAGTAGCTAGGATTACACGCGTGCACCACCAAATAATTTTTGTACTTTTAGTAGAGATGGGGTTTCACCATGTTGGTCAGGCTGGTCTTGAACTCCCAACCTCAAGTTATCCACCTGCCTCAGCCTCCCAAAGTGCTGGGATTACAGGTGTGAGCCACCACACCTGGCCCTCACTGAGTTGTGATTTTCTTGTAGGTACTGTATTAATTTCTCATGTCTGCTGTAACAAATTACTACAAATTGGGTGGTTTAAAACAATAGAAATTTATACTCTCACAGTTCAGGATGAAATCCAGGTATTGGCAGGGCTGCACTCTGGAAGCTCTAGGGGAAAATGTACTCTTTGCCTCTTCTAACTTTTGGTGATTGCCAACATTCCCTAACTTGGGGCCACATCACTCCAATCTCTGTTTTCATGGTCACATGACTTCCACCTCTTCTATTACATTTCTTATGTGTCTCTTACGAGGACATTTGTCATTCGATTTAGTGCTCACCCCAGTAATCCAGGATGATTTTCTCATCTTAAGATTCTTAATTGTATCTGCAAAGACCTTTTTCCAAATAAGGGAACATTAATAGATTCCAGGGATTTGATGCAGATAGCTTTTGAGGAGATGTTTTTCAGCCTACCACAGATATCAAACCAGAAATAGTAATGTTGAAGTGATTAAGACATCAGAATGTAATAGAGAATCAGAATAATTTATAAATATTACTGATATATTTTTTCCAAATGCTTGGTTGCCTTTTAAAGAGATGAAAGAGGCCAGGCGCACTTGCTCACTCCTGTAATCCCAGCATTTTGGGAGGCTGAGGTGGGATGCTGGCTTGAGTCCAGGAGTTCAAGGTCACAGTGAGCTCTGATTGTGCCACTGCACCACCTTAGCCTGGGTGACAAAATGAGATCCTGTTTTTAAGCAAATAAATAAATAAATAAACATTTTTAAAGGGATAAAAAAATTTGCTGTGGGGGGAAAAGCAATCAGACAGCTAAATTTCTGACTTAGTTGCCAGCCATGTATGATTTTCATTTTAATCTATCAACCCTCCTTCTCTCTTCTAGGTAATTGTTGAACCAATAGCTGCTTTTATTTGGGTTTTCTACTCTTTTTCTACATGTCTTTAGCTCTTTTGCTAAAATGTCGTTACTAGCAGTATCAATACTAATCATAACTAATCATAAACAAGAACTAGCATGCAAAAAGTCACTAGCGAGACTAGACCACAGTTAGGGAAATATTTTCGAACGTGATTTCTTATTTCAAATGAGTAATAAACATTTACAAATCTGAGCCACTGGCCTTTTCTCATCTAGGTAAATGTCCCCAGGAACCCCAGGCTACATTAGACATTAAACAAGACAAAAATCTCGTGGAAAAATAGATCAAGAGGCGCTCGAAGAAGACAGTAGTGTAATACATGTTTTCAAATATATGTCATCTTGTCCCCTGTTTCTGCCCACGTTCAGCACAAGCAGCTGCCCTTACTGGTTGCTCAGGTTGGACTGGGAGTGCACTGATTGCTGGTATTTTCCCTTGAGGCATCTTGGCAGCAACTCTGGCCGTTTATATTCTTGGCCATCTCAGGGGCTAGGCAGGTGGCTCTGTGCTTTGTCAGTGGCGTGAGTCCTACAGGTGTTTCATATGGCTGGTGACAGGGGACTGCAGCCTGGCAGAGTCTGCTACCTTGATCTGCCAACTTTCTCCAATTCAGAAACGAAGGGGCACCTAGACCTTCATCTGTGCTTCCCAGGTGCAGCTCTGCTTCATTGTCAAATGAAGCTTTCTCTACTAGAAATTTGTAGGATCTGAGAAGAGAGAAAGAATTTGGACATCATGGGTTTCTGCGTGTCTTCTGCTTCTGGAGAATGGACTTAACTTAGATCTGGCAGCCAGGATGTTGGCAGAGTCCATTTCCAGTGTTGGAGTGCGAAGGATGTAATGAAAACAGCTCTGGCCTGAGACACTGGTGGGCAGATCCTTTTCAGCCACCACCCTTCTCAGTGACCTTGACCAGCCCCTTTCCCTTCTCTGTTCCTCACTTGCCATATTCAAAACAAGAGGATTGGACTAAATGTTCTCTGAGGCATCTCCTAGCTTTACCATCTATCAGATGTATACACTTTAAACCCTCCAGGTTGAGAATTTGGGATCTATGAGAAGGATCACAGGCTGTTTCTTTTCCCAGGAAGATCTCCCCACACACACCCTGATGTTGCTGATGGTTATATTGAGAGTGCCTCTAAATAAAGTCCAAAAGTACGGGATTGTGGTTAGAGTTAAGAGTAGTTCTCAGTTATGACCATATCAAGCATTCATCAAATGTTAATTGGTCTGGGCGCAGTGGCTCATGCCTGTTATACCAGCACTTTGGGAAACTGAGGCCGGTGGATCAGATCACTTTAGGTCAGGAATTTGAGACCAGTCTGGCCAACATGGTGAAACCCCGTCTCTACTGAAAATACAAAAAAAATTAGCCAGGCATGGTAGTGAGTGCCTGCAGCCCCAGCTACTCAGGAGGCTGAGGTGAGAGGATCACTTGAACTTGGGAGGTGGAGGTTGCAGTGAGCCGAGATCATGCCACTGCACTCCAGCCTGGGTGATAGAGCGAGACTCCATCTCAAAAAAAAAAAAAAAAAATTGTTAATTGGTGCCGCAGGCAGCTGCCAGGGCTGTAAAGATGGATAAGATGGAGTTCCTGCCCCAAGGAGCACACAGTCCAATGGAGGAGACAGATGACTAAATCAAGGATTGCATTACAGTGTGATAAGTGCTACTATAGGGTTATTCATCAGGTGCCATGACACATGGAGGATGGACATATAAATCTCTCCGGGGTAGTGTCAGGAATGGCTTCCTGGAGGAGGTGGCACATGGGTAGACACTGAAAGGATGAGTAGGAATTACCTATGTGGAATGGGGATCAAGTCTCCTGGAATGCTCACAAAACGTATGTTTGCCCAACAGATAATTGCCAGCTGTCATGGAACACATTGCTCCCTTTAAACACAGGTGTCTCTCTCATCGTCTAATTATTCTCCTGGGCCTGGCACATGGATTGGAACTGTATGTACCTAACTGGAGCCCCAGTGGCAGATCCGGAGTAAGCTGGGAAAGCCAAATGGACTTCAGCATTTTTTCTTTCTTGAGACAGGGTCTCGCTCTGTTGCCCAGGCTGGAGTACACTGGCAGGATCATAGGTCACCGCAGCCTCGACCTCCCGGCTCAAAGTGATCCTCCTGACAGTGTTCTGAGTTGCTGGGACTACAGGCTCGTGCCACCAGATCCAGCTAATTAATTATTATTATTATTTGTAGTGACAGGGTCTTGCTATGTTGCCTAAGCTGGCTAACTTTGATATAGACCCTGAGATAGCAGAACTGTGGGCTCCAGCAATACTGCTTTTGGTATGCCAGTATGAAATGCTTGCAGTCTGCATTCTGTACACATAACACATTCCCTTCTCTCTCCATTTTTCTTCCTTTTTCCTTTTCCATTTCTGGTGCAAGTTAGGGGGAATGGAATGGAGGGACATAAACGCTGTTGGTTTCTGAGTATTTCTAAGGTCTCCCTGTGATTCTACTTAGTCATGGCAGACTTCTTGGAGGAGGTGCTGGGAAAGAAAGGTAAGGACTAGCTCGACTAATCAGGCTGGCATCTGAGCTAGGAGAGGCTCCCCGGGCCCCTCGCTGCTCACAGCCCCGCCACGCTTCCGTGCCTTTGACCTTTGTTCCTCTCCTAACCTCCCACCAAGTAGAACCAGGTTTAATCACTTCCCCTTTTCCGTTCAGTGGCTGGACATGTCCACCAGGTTCCTGATTCAAAGCTCTTTTAGTCAAACTGGTTCTCTGCGCGGTGCGCCTGGACTGGGGGACTTGGCGCTGCCGGCGAGTTCTCGGGGCTGTGAATTACCTTCCGAGGCGGCGGCGCGGCTCCGCCCCCGGCCCCGCCGGTGGTTCAAGTGCAAGATCGGAGCTGGGAGCGGAGAGGCAACACCCCTGCTCGCACTGCAACCTGCTCCCTTCGGGGAGGGATCCTCCCCGCTCCAGCTTCTGCTCTCCGGGCTCCGCCAGGCTGGAGGGCAGCAGAGCCAGGAGGAACGGAGACCCAGCGCTGCCCGTTAACAGTCCCGGCAGGAGAGGCATCGTAATTACTCACCGCGCTAATTGCCCGTCATTAAAGTTCAGGAAACGGTCCGAAGAGGAGCTCCCGAGTCGACGAGGAGGCAGGTGGTGTCTGGGGCTCCCGGCCGGCCAGGGTTAAGCGCTTGCCTGCTCCCTGCCGCCCGGCTTGAGGCCAGCGCGTCTTCAGTGGGGAGGCCAGCCACACTGCCAGGGACCCGGGAGCGACGCCGCCAGCCCGGCCGGACCCCCTCCCCCACCACGGCCTCTGGAAGGGGGCAGCAAGTGGGGGTTCCCGGGTACCAAGCCCCCTGCCCAGCCGGCGCCTGGGGGCGCAGAGAGCGAGAGGGGCTGCAGGGACACCGAGATGGCCGATGAGATTGACTGGCTGGACCTGCCCGGCCGGTGGGCCTACGGAGTTGACGGCGGTGGGAGAATCTTCTTCATCAAGTATGTTGGTCTCGCTCTTCTTTTTATTTCATTTTTTTCCATTAAGTTGCCCAACTTGAAAAGTGGCGGGGCTGGGGGCAGGCCGGAGAAGGTGGGTGAAGCGGTGGCTACAAGGGCGGGCATGACTAATAAGTTTATCACCATGCCTGTTTGAATGTGTCTCCCGCCTTTTCCTCAATGGGTCAAAGTCCAGCAAAGGCTTGGCATTCCCTCAGCTTGGAAAGGCTGGGCAGGGCAGGGGAGTGCTGCCCTTTCTCCCTCTCCCTGGTCACATGCGAGGCCTCCAGGAGGATGACTAGACCAATGCCCAGCCTGGAGTTTTTTCAGCTCCTTCCCTGAAAGGGCCAGAGGTAGGTCTTTCATTTTCCCCGAGACTTTCCTATGGGAAGACTTGGGCTAAGTGACAACATACCAGGAGATCCTGCCTCTACCACTCAGTTCCTGGCAACCCTCGCCCCAGACTCAGCGTGCCCAGGACAGCAGTTCTCCTCTCCTGTCCTGCTTCTTTATGGGGCTGTGGTCAAGAGGGAGGGGGACGATGCCCACTGTATGTTTGGCATTCTTGAGAGAGAGCGCGCCTTTGCTACTCTCAGTAATATATTAGCACTGTTATATTAATTTCATAAGCCAAAGTGGCTCTGGCATAATCTCATTATAACAAAGTGGCCCTGCTGGCTGTCTTTTGGCTCGCTTCTACTATAGTCATCTTTTGCCAGGATAGACATCTTCCAGAAATATAGCAAGTCTAGAAGCACAGCGTCTTGGACTGTTACCCACACTTGACGAGCTTTTCCTTCCTCAAGATAGCCACTTAAAAACATCGGAGCTACAAGGAATCTTAGAAACAACCCCTTCATTTGTCAAATGGGGAACTGAGGTCCAGAGATATTGAAGTACCGGTCTAAGAGAAAACCACGTGTTAATCAGAGCTGGGACTCAGCCCCGCATCTGCTGACTTAGTGCACTGCTTCCCCAGGTACCAAACTGCCTTTGCAGGGGCTCAGGCAGGCAGTAGTTTCTCTTTGGTGTTTCTAAGTTTCCACATTTGCTTTAGGCCTTTGTTCTGTAATTATCACCACCATGATCATAATTGATGTTGTAATTATATTATCTTAGAAATTAACTCCATTAAAGTTCTTGACCCTAAGTCAGATTCTTAAATAACAGAACCTCTGCAATATTAAAACTGCAGTGGCTAGAGACATTAGAGTTTATAAGAATCACCCAAGGAACTTATTAAGAAGGTGGATTCCTGAGCCCTACCTCAGGAGATTCCTATTCAGAGGATCTGGGGTAGGGTCTTAGAATGTGAATTTCCATGAGCCCCTCAGGTATACTGATGAAGTGGTTCATTCTCTTCTTTCTTCCTGATCTCTTACTTGCCATCCAGATTCTTTTCCTCTTTCATTCTACAAACATTTATTGGGCATCCACTCTTTGCTGCAGTGCTAGGCACTGGAGATAAAAACAATAAGATATAGGTTTTTACTTTAAGTTAACAGGGAGAATACATAAATCAATACTTAGGAAATAATATGGTACATTCTTGAGGCATTTGCATGATGCTATGGGAAGGAAAGAACTAATGCTCTCCAGGGAGTTCAGTGAGGGCTTCCCAGAGGAGGAAGCATTTGAGCTGATTCTGGAGGAGAGACAAGAGTGAAAGAAGCCTTGGAAGTAGAGGCTTGGGGAAATAAAGGCACCAGTGGGGGCTGAGGAACAGGTAACCTAGAGCACTCGGAGAGGTTCAGTGGAGACGGAGTGGAGCTGCTGAAATACTGTAGAGGACCAGGAGAAAAAGTAGGAAGAGGCAGCTTGAGAGAGCCCTTATGTGCTAAGCTAAGGGGTCGGGACTCCATCCTATAGGTGATGGGAAGCCAAAGGAGATTTCAAACTGGGACTTGACATCATCGAGTCTGTGTTTAGAGCCTTGTCTCTGGCAGCTTCCTGAGCGATGATTTGAGGCTGAGCGAGAGGCAGGAGGAGAAACTTAAGGTATGGAAAGCAGTTAGGAAACAATTGCAAAAGTCCAGGAGACAGCTGATGGGGCCCGAATTAAAATGGTGAGAATAGAAGTGAAGGGGAGGGAGAGATGGGAGAAATCTTCAGGAACCAAATCAGGAATATTCTTCTAATGCTTGAATTCTGGGGAGGGGAGACAAAGGGAGGAATCAGAGGTGAAGCTTAGAATTTCCAGCTTGAGTTGACAGAGGTCAGGAGTATGGCAAGGGGAGTGCATATTAGGGGGAGTACAGGGTTAGTGGGGAAACACTGCAGTTGAGGTTCCCGGGGGACATTCAGGAGATGCTGTCTAACAGACAACTGGATATACAGGATAGAGTTTGAAGAGAGAGGCCTGGGCTGGAAAAGGGTCATCGTGTGGGGGTAGAACGACCCAGAAGAGTGCGAGGGAAAAGACAGGAGTATACCCCAGGCAGCACCAGTGTCAAGGAAGGGACAGAGGAACAGAGGCCAGGCTGGAGAGTAAGACCGAGAGGTTGCAGAGGTGGGCAGCACCAGGACCAGGGTAGAATGCCACCCCAGAAGGCAAGGAAGAGGGATGTTAAGAAGAAAAAAGGAAGGAATTCAACAGTATTGGATGCAGCAGAAAAGCCAAACGGGCCAAAGGCTAAAAAATGCCTAGTGGATTTAGGAGAGGGGGAGGCCTCTAATGACGTCTAGGAAAGTGGTTTCAGGAGAGAGCTGGGAACAGAAACCAGGTTGCAGTGGATTGGTGAATGAAAGGCCAGAAAGTGGGGAAAGCTAGGAGTGACTACTGTTGAATGTTTGGTCAGGAATGAGGAGTGCGAGACATGAAGCTGCCAGGGGACATGGCATTGAGTGGGAGGCAGCGTGTTTAGACTATAGAAGACACAGACAGAGGAGGAGGATAAAGGGATGGACCCTATAAAGAGAGAGGAGGTGAAGATGCAAGGCTGGGATGCTCAACAGAAGGAGGTTCTATAAAAGATGGAAGAGGAGGGGGACGATAACCCAGGCAGAGAGATTAGCCTTAAAGGGGAGAGAGGGCTACCTCTTCTCCAGAGGAAGACAAGTATTAAAGGATGGGTGAGAATCTGGGTAAGTTTTGGTGGTGAGGTGATTGGGCATACTGGGAAAGCTCCCACCTAATCTTTTCTATTTTTTCTTCATTAAGACATAAGATCCTCTGTGCCGGAGAGGGGCTAGGTAGCAGAGGCAGCCCTGGGACCTGAGGTTAGCCGGAAAGGCTTGGAGCACTCTGCAGATGGCAACTGACTGGGGACCTTGAAGAAGATTCTAGGTGGCACTCAGGGCTCAGCTAAGCTGGGAGACTGGATTTGCAGTGACCCCAGTTCTTCGAGGCCCAGTTCCCCCATCAGCCCGGTGCTGGAGTGGAGACAGCCTGTGACTGCGTTGTCCCAGACAGTGGTGCTGACAAGGGTGCAAGATGGTGCCAAGCCAAGGGGAAGAGGAAGTTGAGGGCTGTGGTGGAATGTCAAGGGTGTGATAGGGTTGTCTGTGATATCCAGTGGGGTAGAGATAGATGGGAATCTGAGGGGGCGGACAGTGTGCAAGGAGGGGAGAGTCAGGGGCTGAAAAATCTCAGGACAGATGTAATGGAGGTGAGGGCACTGGCTGACTTTCTCTCCAAACCCTTCCTTTTTATTGGCTTCCTCTTCCACTGCCTCCCAGGACCAAAGCCAAGACCAGAGACCCAGTATGTTAGAGTCTTCTTCAATGGTGCCTGAGCTCAGAAGTCACTAGAACAGTGACTTTGTTTTTTCTCTGCTTATCAGAGGGGTAGGTTAGCTGGGAGATCTCTTCCTGTAGCAGGTGTCCAACCTTAGAGAAAATGAGTGGAGTCAATAGAAAAAAAAGCATATTTTCACACCAACACTAGTACACAAATGTTCATAGTAGCTTTCTTTGTAATGGCCCAGAACTGAAAACAACCCGTAAGTTCAGCAACAGGTGAATGAATGAACACACTGTGGTGTTTCCTACAATGGAATACTATTCAGCAATTAAATGGAATCAAACGACCACACACCACAATATGGAAAAAAGCACGAAAGTCAGACAGCTGGGTGCTGTGGTTCACACTGTAATCCCAGTGCTTTGGGAGGCCAAGGCAGGAGGATCACTTGAGGTCAGGAGTTTGTAACCAACCTGGGCAACATAGTAAGACCTTGTCTCTGCAAAAAAAAAATAGCCAGAGACCAGGTGCAGTGGCTCACGCCTGTAATCCCAGCACTTTGGGAGGCTGAGGCACTTGAGGTCAGGAGTTTGAGATCAGCCTGGCCAACATGGTGAAACTCCGTCTCTACTGAAAATACACGAAAAATTAGCCAGGCGTGGTGTTGCATGCCTGTAACTCTAGCTACTTGGGTGGCTGAGGTGGGAGGATTGCTTGAACCCAGGCAGAGATTTCAGTGAGGCAAGATCGTGCCACTGCACACTCCAGCCTGGGTGACGGAGTGATACTCTATCTCAAAAAAAAAAAAAAAAAAAAAGAAAGAAAAAATATAGCCAGACATGGTGGTACATGCCTGTAGTCCTAGCACTCAGGGGGCTGAGGTGGGAGGATTGCTTGAGCCCAGAAGTTTGAGGCTACAAATGAGCTATGATTGTGCCACTGCACTCCAGTCTGGATGGCAGAGTGAGACCGTCAAAAAAAAAAAAAAAAGTTTTTCAGGGAAAGATGTATGATTGTATGATTGCATGACTGTATTGTATGATTGTATGATTCCTTTTATATAAAACTCTGGAAAATGCAACTAATCTATGGTAACAGAAAACAAATCAGTTGCTGGGGAGAGGGGTGAGGATAGAAAGAGCTTGGGGTTGGGGGTGGGAAGGAGGAATTACAAAGGGTCACACAGAAAGTTTGGGAATTCATTATCTTGATTTCGGTGGCAGTTTCACAGGTGTATAGATAAGTCAAAACTATTAAATTGTAAATTTTTTAGGGCGTTTATTCGATATCTCATTTTAATAAAAGTTTAATGGAGTCTTTCTTAGTGGAGTTTATTCTACATCCATTATACCTTAAAGACATTGAGTAGAGTCTTGTCCTGGGCTCCAAGATGCCATCCTAAAGCCTGGGTGATCCACGTGACCTGAGAGTCCCTTCCTCCACATACCTGAAGTAGCCAAGACAGTCAGATGCTTCTTGCTGGATCACATCTGGCTCTGGAAGTCTGTGTCACTTGGTCGGTGGGGATTGAGAAATGATGATGGCTTCATCTGCCATCCAATCTAGAGCCCAGAGGGTCTGTGTTGCTGGGGAGCCTGCCTTGCTGGGTGTGAGGTATCAGAAAGAGTTTTGTCGGGGACAGATCTAGGTCTGAATCTAGGTCTGAATCTAGGGACAGATCTAGGTTGTGACTTTGGCCAAATTTCTTAACTTCTCTGAACCTCGATTCATAATCTGTAAAATTTCCAGTGTGAGGGAATGTCGTGAATGAAAAATATGTAGCATTGTTGACACATAAGGACTATGGGTTCATGCAGTCTCCTCCTTTTCTTATCCATTCGAGAAGCTGCCAGTTAAGGACCTTCCTTGTTTTTCCCACCTGACTTTAGCAATCATCTCTAACATTGCCTCTGCCGTGAAGCCTTCATGCTTCCCCTTCCTTAACCTCATGCCAGGTAGCCCTTGTTTCTTTGCGATGGTATCACACTTTCTACACATAGTTACAATAGGGATTACAGTGCCTATCATATTGTATTGCAGCTATCTTTTTATGCATTTGTTTCCCAGTGGGATGTAGATTCTTTGAGGTTAGGGATTCGATATTATTCATCCTGAAATCCTCAGAGTGTGCTTAGTAAATAATTCTCTGTGAATGTGAATGAATGAACAGCCTTGTGGATGCTCTCATCTCATGTGTCTGGGATTGAATAGTCGGTGTTAATGTGAATCTGGAGATGAGTGTCCTGCTCAGAAAAGCCTCTCTTGTAGCTGACACTTTCTTATTGATCTTTCTGCAGTGATGAGGAAAAGTCAACCAGCTGGGTGCACCCTGGAACAAAGTCACCCATCCAGAGTGGACACACCTCCTGCCCAGGTAAGGAACCTGTCTGTCCCTGCCTTTGCAATTGAGGAGGATGTAATAGCTTGAGGTGGCAGCAGGAATCCTGTGCCCCAACTTTGCTTCTGACTTTTTCCTTTCTCCATGGATGGACTCAGCTTAGCATTTGGACTGCCTGCCATCTGGGGGAGATTGCAGGCTTGTTGGAGCTCACCTCAGTGTCTCTCTAAGCTTCCACCTCCAAAATTAGTATCTGAGATGGGCCTTTGAGGACAAAGATTTTTACTCATCTTTCATCCCTCTGCCCAGTCAGAAAATCCCCTGTCTCAAGGGCTCTTGAACTGGCAGAAGCCAGCCCCCAGTGCTGCGCTCTAGAACTTTTATGTCGTGATGGAAGGGTTCTCTATCTGCTCTGCCCAATACAATTGCCATGAGCCACATGTGGCAATGAACAACTGAAATGTTACAAGCATCACTGAGGCCCTGAATTTTTTTTTTTTTTTTTTTTTTTTGAGGCAGAGTCTTACTCTGTCGCACAGGCTGGAGTGCAGTGGCACAATCTCGGCTCACTGCAACCTCTGCCTCCCGGGTTCAAGAGATTCTCGTGCCTCAGCCTCCCAAATAGCTGGGATTACATGTGTGTGCCACCACACCCAGCTAATTTTTGTATTGTTAGTAGAGATGGGGTTTTGCCATGTTGGCCAGGCTGGTCTCAAACTCCTGACCTCAGGTGATCCACCCACCTCGACTTCCCAAAGTGCTGGGATTATAGGTGTGAGCCACTGTGCCCAGATGGATTTTTAATCCTAATTAATTCAAATGTAAATGGCCCCATGTAGCTAGTGGGAGCGCCTGTTTCTCCCACTGAGGAGAAACATGAAAGGGGACAAGGCTGACATTCATTGCTGATTATGGAGAAAACATCACTGGTAGCCCTCAGGGCTAGTGGGAAAGGTGGGACACAAACAGGTCAGAAATGAAGAAACAACCAAGGAAAAAGACTTCAGTCTAAGTTGTTGAGGTAGAGACATCAAGAATCACAAGGCCTAGGTACTTTAACTGAACAGCCATTCATCCTCCTCATGACGCCACCACGGGCCAGTAAGAGGGGGTGTGGGTCACAGTGCGGGGAGATATCTCTCCCCTTCCCGCCTTCCAGCCCTTCCCCCTCTCGCCTTCCAGCGCTTCACCGGACTGGACACTAGGCGCCTGGTTCCAAGGCCTCCGTCAATCATGGGCACAGCTGGCACTGCTGGACACACAGGATGAAGCCTTTGGCTTGTTCAGAGTCCTTTTCTTTTTAGCTTCTGAGCTGGGATCATTTCTGGAAGAGACTTCAGGGATCATGGAGTTCGACTCTTCATTTTATGGTAGAAACATTGAAGAACAGAGAGGAAGTACCTGGCTCAAGGCCATTTGACTAATAAGCAAAGTGGTGTCATGGTTAAAGGCATACATTTTGGAGGCAGAGAGATCTGAGCTCAATCTTGGTTCTATTGCTTCCAGTGTGCTCTTGCACTAGGGGTTTAATTCTTCCTGGACTTAGCTTCTTCATCTTTATAATGGGGAGAGGATTATGAACCTCAAAAAAGTAGTAGCATTACATCAGAGAGGTGGCTCCCAAAATGGAGGTGGCTGCTGCTGTTATTGTCACCATTGTATTTCCAACTTGCAGCGAGGCCTCCTGACTCTAAGGCCAGGGCTGTTTTCTTCTACCAGGTTGATGGTGGTGTCACCTTCAGTGTTTCAGCTGTTTACAGGTTGAGTCCTTCCACCTCATTATCATCCTAGGTAGGAGTGGAAGATGAATACCAGCCTGTGAGCCAATGCTTTCATTTTTGGCTGCAGCCAACTGGTTGTCTAAGGCTGGGAAGGGGTTAAGATGCCCCCGGAGCTTGCCGCGAGGGCAGCTGCCTCAGCGGGCACTCCGCCTGGATGGGAATATAAGCACTCTTGGTGTTGCCCAGGCAGAGAGGGCAGTGTGGAGGGAAGTTGCTAGAAAAAGGCAGGGGACATAATCCATACTGGCCTCTTTCCCAGGCACATCACAGTGGCAGAATTATTTATGATTCTGACCCAATGGGGATCCCTCTACTTGGGGAGACTGCCAACCCACGCCCTCCTGAATGGCAACGTCCTCCCACAGAGACAGAGGGGAACAAGTAGCATTTATGGAGCGGCACAGAGGAAAGAGTGTGGGCTTTGGAGACAGCACAGCAGCACTCACATCCCGGCCCAGACACTTCCTGTGTGACCTTGAGCCAGTTGATGAACCTGTCTGGGCCTCTGTTTCCTCATCTGTTATCGGCGAAAATGTTTCGGAGGACACCTATTGTATAATGTTGCTATGCAGATTAAATGCACTAGCAGAGGCAAAGTGCATAGCTTAGAGGAAGGAAGTACTCGCTAAGTGGTAGCTGGTGTGATAGGTGGGCCAAGTCCTGGCAGGAGCTGGGCTTGCTGGCTGCCCTGTTTTGCTGAAACAGCAGCATCACCATCAGCAGCAACTGTGGAAATATAGACCCTTGATAAATACAGGTGAATAAAATGAATGATTAGAAACTGGACCTGCCACTCTGCAGAACCCAGGCACTGCTCCCCAGCAGCTGGTGCCTCAAAGCAGCTGCTAACATGGCAGGAGACAGTCAGACCAGCAGTGAATAGCTATGCTTCGTAAGACTTCATACACAAGGCAGGCGTGTGGACTGACCAGAAAGGTGGCAGTCACTGTCCATCAAGAGAATCCCCACCTGTTTTCCAATATGTCAGCCAGGAGGCTCGCACTCCCAAAAGGAATGTTCTCAGCCAGCTCCCTGACTGTCCCCACCTCTGACAGTGGACTCTCTTGGGTCTCTCAAAAGGCTCCTCCTCCTCAGCCATGGGGTGAAGGAATCCTGTTTGCCGGGGAGGCGGGATGCTGCCCAGGGTGGCTGTTTTGGGAGAGCGAGCAGGATGAGATAGTGCCTATGAGTGATCTTTGGAGATGGAGGTGCTATGGCCACCTGTGGGGACTGCCTGGGTGCCTCCTGGCCACTGTCAACTTCCTTGCTCACACTGAGATTCTGTGATTCTCCTCTGAGCATTTCCATGGATAATTTTTTTTTTTCAGAGACACTATTAAAGATTTTAAAAATTGCAAGTCTCTTCATTTTCCTGGGGCTGATTTCCTAGGTCCTTGGTTTCCTGTCCAGAAAGAGCACAGCCTGATGGCCATAACGCTGGCCTGGTATTTGGAGACTTGAGTCTTACTCGGATCTTAGGTGTTAATGATCTGTGATGAGTTCCTGGGGCAAGTGACCTGCCCTTCTGGTTAGATGATCCTGAGGACACTTCCAGGGGAACCATCTGTGTGTTCACTGTTGTATCCAGGGGCTGGCACAGGGCCTGGCGCATCGTAGATGCTCAGTAAAGATTTGTTGAATGAATAAGTGCATCCTGCCAGGCTATGATTCATTCGGTCACTTCACCGCTCATTGACGGAGGACATCCCGTCCACTCCCATATCTCTCATTATTTGCTGGGAATCTCACTGCTAGAAATCACGGACAAAAAAGGATGGAATGGTTGGTTTGAACTCGGCTGGCTTATATTTGGATTTTCCTGACTGTCCAGGCACCCATCCCTCCTAAGTGCAGGTGGGGTTTGTGGGAAGAGAGGAAGAGAGGTTGATCCCAGGGTATCTCATTCTGGTGATTTTGCTTCCTCACAGGTTTGCCCAAGGGCTGGGAAGTGGATTCCACCCAGGAAGGAGCTGTGTATTTCATCAAGTGAGTAAGACGCAGTTTCCTTTCTGATGTCGCTGTTGGTTCTACTTTCATCCTTGTCAGGAGGAGAGATGGTTAAAGTGTCTGGTTTTTCACTGAAGGCACTGCTGGGTCTGTGATTGGCTAGGAGGTGCCGAGGCTCCTGAGAGCTGAGATAGAGATGGGAACGTATGTATCAGTGCGTCTGTTTATGTTGGCCTGGGCAGTAACCAGTGTCAGTCCTGGTAAGTTTCCTGGGGTGGGGTGGGTGGAGTGTTGGGCTGGGCTGTACCGGTGGGAAGGAGATGGCTCAACAAAGTAGAGGAACGAGGCTGTTCTAGACACACAGGCAGAGGTTCAGAGGCAGGAGACGCAGCCGCGGGGCAGGATGTGGAGGCAGTGGGAAGGGAAGGTGTCCGTGGGGTGTACGAAGGAGGACATCAGACTGGTGGTGGCAAGGCCAGCTCCGGTCACTCTTGCTCTTGTGGATGGGGGCATCTGCGATTCTGGGGGTGGTTTGTGTGGGCGGAGATGCCCTATTTTCCTCCTAGGAGTTGGTCAGGCCCCTCTGTGGGCTGGGGAGCCCTTATTTCCTGCCGTGGCTAAAGGTGTGCCTTGGGAAGTTGCCCTGGACTTAATCTTGGAAGCAGAAGACAGAGCTCTTTGGGCTGGGGTGGTGCATGAGCTACCCAGTTGAACTCACTTCTCTCTGCCTTGGCCTGGGTCTCTCCATCTGGTTTCATTCGCAAGGGTGAGGCTCAGCGTGCCCAGGCCTGTGGGCCTCACCTTCTGGTCTGGCCTCAGATTCTGCAGGGATGGTGAAGCGCCTCTGCCCAGCCTCCTGGGGCAATGGCACCACCAGAGGGAGCCCCAGTCTAGCCAGGGCAGGGAGGACCCTTGTCTCATCCCCTTTCCGTCCCTCTCTGCTTTGAAATCCTCATCCATCTGTACTAGGAGGGGTTACGTTTCCAATCCCCCACCGCCAAGATCTGCCAGCACTTAGATCTGCCACCATCTACCACCTACATCAGCTTAGCCGCTAACCTATTTTTTCTTTTTTTTAAGATAGGGTCTCACTCTGTCACCCAGGCTGGAGTGCAGTGGTGCGATCTCAGTTCACTGCAATTTCCATCTCCGGGGTTCAAGAGATTCTCGTGCCTCTGCCTCCTGAGTAGCTGGGACTACAGGTGCCCACCACCATGCCTGGCTAATTTTTGTATTTTTGGTCAAGATGGGGTTTTGTCATGTTGGCCAGGCTGGTCTCGAACACCTGGCCTCCAGGGATCCATCCACCTTGGCCTCCCAAAGTGCTGGGATTACAGGCGTGAGCCACCATGCCTGGGCCTGTTAACCATATTCTTAAAGCGAAAGCAAATTTTTCTTTTCTTTCTTTTCTTCTTTTTCTTTTTCTTTTGTTCCTCCTCCTTCTCCTCCTCCTCTTTCTCCTCTTCTTCCTGCTCTTCCTCCTTCTTCGTCTTCCTTTCAAAGTATCTGTTCTGGAAATTATTCTAATATCACATGACAGTTATAGACTGAATTTTTCCTGTTTGGACCCAAATGCTTCTTGCTTCAGTTAAGAATTGTGAATTGTTTCTTCTTTTCTCCCTCTTGCAGATACCATCTTCATATTCCTTTTGGTACATGGCTCTAGAGATTGTTCACTAAACACTTTCACATGTATTACGGCATCTCACCAGTCCCTAGAAACGTACCTGTCCACCTCTCTGACCTCGTGTCCCATGACTGGCTGGCTGTGCTGCCATCTTTCCTTCCCACCATCATGTCAAACCCATTCCCACCTCAGAGCCTTGGCGCTTGCTGTTCCCCCTGCCTGGGAGCACTGTCCTCCCATTTCCACACACCTGGTTCCGACTTCTCGATTAGCCCATGTCACCTCCTCAGAGAGGCCATGCCTGACTGCTCTGCCTGAATTCCCCCACCCCTCCACACTCTTACTCTTACTTTTCTTCACAGCACCTGGCACTACCTGAAACACGTTTGTTTATGTATCTGTTTGGTTATGTATTTCTGGTCCCCCCACTGCTGTGTAAGTCCTGGGAGCAGATTCTGGCTATTGTGTTTTTCACTCCCTCCTAGAACCTTTCTGGTGCATGATAGCAATCCAGTATTTCCTGAAATGAATGCATGCATGATAAACATTGGGAGACAAACAACACAGGCATAATTGATTTCTGCTTCAGCTACCAGCCCAGAGCTTTCTTCTGAGCTCCCTCAATTCATTGTGTCCAGACTTGAAGTCATTGCTTCTCTGTGCCGGTTCCATCTTTTCTAGAAATACCAGCAAAGCAGAGCCCTCGGAGATACCCTCAACCTTTCCCGCTCTCATGCCTCCCCCATGGGTCCTGTCAATTCTCCTCCCAAATATCTCTCAACCCACCCACTTCTCGATATCTCCATAGCCATGGCCTGAGTTCAGGCCCACATGGACTCTCACTTCCATTATTGTAGAAGCTTTCCAACTGATCTTCCTGCCTCCAGGCCATAATGCTGCAAGAGTGCTTTCTTTCTAGAATTCAAATTTGGTCATATTATTCTCCATTAAAAACTTTGCATGTTACCCGTCACTTACAGGATAAAATCTAAATTCCCTATCTGGGCACGTAAAGGGCATCATAGTCTCGCTCCCGCCCCCCTTCCCAGCCTCACCTCCCACACTCCCCACCTGGCTCTTTAGCCCTCTCCTCTAGCCCTGCCAAATCACTTGTGGTTCCCTCAACATTCGCTTCCCTTTCATGCTTCCGGGGCTTTGTAGGTGCCAATCTCTCCTCATGTGGCTCATGCCCACCTGAGAACACTTGTTCTTCCTTCAAGCCCTGCCCATGATGTCACTTCTTCAGGGATGTGTCCGTGTATGGTAGTTATTTGCTTATACTTGTGTCATTTTCCACTAGATTAGTAACTCTCCAACTGGAGCGTGTATCACAATCACTGGAGGGTTTGTTGGAGCACAGATGGCTGGGCCCTACCCCTAGAGTTTCGGATTCAGAGGGTCTAGAATTTGCACTTCCAACACATTCTCAGGTTATGCTGCTGTGGCTGCTCTGGGGCCCACACTTCGAGAACCAGTAGCCTAGACTGAAAACTCATCAAGGGCAGGGGCAACACAGGGGGGTCGTAAAGTCCGGAGACACAGGCAATATTGTTTAATTATCAACCAGCCATGAATTCTGTGTTCACATACATTTCCAGACCTGGTGGTCATTCTGTATATCATAGCAGCAGCCGCCACTCTAGGAGCTAAGTGCTTTATGACATTATCTCATTTATTCCTCACCGCACCTTTATGAGGAGGTTCTATCATCCCGCTTTTAGCAAATAATGGGAAAACTGGTTCTTCGTATGTATTACTCAATGTCACAAAGCTTGTATTAATAGAAAGCAAGCGGGAAGGCGGCCTCATGTGTGCCTGATTTCACAGGCTTTGCTCTTAGCATGATGGCACGGCTGCTTCCCAGCATCCTTGGCACCTTGCTTGGACAAACGAAGTGCTCAGTAAGTTCTTGCTGAATGAGTGAGTGAATGAATGAACGACTGGCTCACCGTTCGTTCCTATTTTCACAGTTCCCACAAAGGTTTATGACATTTGGTTGGTGGATGAGTTAGAAACTCAAACGACTTCAGACATGGATTCCAAGTAATAATAAGAGCCAGACAACCGGAGGAGTTATTTTGTTTCTTTTAGTGTGGATGAGGGAGGGAAATTTCAATGAGCAAATATTGACATTTGCCCAGGAGCAGACAAATGTGTTAATTGTGTGTCAAAAAGCTCTTTCTTTCAGGGTATTTAGGAAGTGACTCTCATGGTATCCACAACAGACGTTTTGCTCGAGTGTGCGTGTGGTTTTGAAGGTGTCATTTACTGGGAAGAGTGGTGGGAGGAGGAGAGAACAAGCGAAAGGTTAAAACGTGGGAGAAACGCACTGCAAGCCTGTATGCACTTACCGCAAGAATCCACAAGAGGGCTCCAGAGCACACATGATGGCCCCACAAGGCTTTCAGGGGGTTTGCTCACAGCGTCTCCCCAGGCTGAAGGCGCCTTCTCGGAGGTGACAGGGCCACCTTTCCCATCCCCTGCCACCTCCCAGCCATAGTGGGTCTGGTAGCTGTCTTTCTGATGCTTAAAGATCTAGCTATGTAACACCCATTCCTGCCCAACAGGAAGTGTTCCCCCGCCCCCTTGTCTCCCTCCTCCGCGTTCCTGCGGAAGCCGCCGCCGGTGAAACTGGCCAGTTCTGTCCCCAAGGGTGCCTCTCTCCTTCCCCAAGGTTGACAGGGAGGGAGACGTGGCAGGACGCTTTCTGCAGAGCCACACCCCTGATAACCCGGTTCCCAAGCTGGGCCCCTGCGGCTCCTCCACCGAGGGAACCCCACCCAGCCGTTGGTCTTCCTTGTTCTGTTCTGGAAGCTTCCTCCAGGAAGGTGCGAGAATGTGCAGGCAGGCAGTCCACCCACGGCCCTGGCGCGCCTACGGGCTGCTCAGCGCTTCTTGAGGGGTTGCAGGGAGGCAGAGATCAGAAGCCCAGGTCTCTGCCCCGCGTGCTTCCAGGCTGGGCAGTGAGACCCCGGTGAGCCTCCAAGGCTGTGCTGGGTCTCTGGGATTCATCAGTACAGACCCCAACCCGAACTGCGAGACCCCGGAGGAGGGGCCCTGGGAGGGGCGGGGGAGCCACCAAAAGCAGTTCTGTTGTCTCCAGAAGGCAGACAGGACAGAGCACAGGAGTGCTGGGGCAGCAGTTCTGGTACAGTGACCCCACTAGCTCTAGGCTTAGAAAGGCAGATAACACCCCAGAACAGTAAAGAAGGAGGCGGCCGAGGAGAAAAGGTAGTGAATGTGCTGGGCTTCAAAGAAGCCCATTTGCAGGTGAGGAAAACAGGCTGGATAGTCAAGTAATTTGTTCAGTCAGTGAGTTACTCAGGGATGGAGCTGGGCTTCCAAGTCACACAGGTTATCGTTAGCCAGGCATGGTGGCTCACACCTGTAAGTCCCAGCAACTCAGTAGGCTGAGGCAGGAGGATTGCTTGAGCCTGGGAGATGGAGACCAATCTGGGCAACATAGCAAGACTCTGTCTGTAAAACAAACTAAAAAATTAGCTGCATGTGGTGGTGTGTACCTGCAGTACCAGCTACTTGGGAGGCTGAGGAGGGAGGATTGCTAAAGCCCAGGTAGAGGTGGAGGCTGCAGTGAGCTAGTTCATCCCACGGAGCTCCCTTTGCTGCCCCTAGTTGGCATGTTCTGCGAGGAAGAGAGACCCATGTGGATGCAGTTCCACTGAATGGGCAGTGAGCCAGTCAAGTTAGTGGCCACCAAGACTGTATGGTAGGGAGTGGGGATGGCACCAGAAAGGTGGGGAGGACCCGTGTGTTTGGAGACCATGAGTAGGTGCCTGGGAAGCTTGGACTTGATCCTCTGAGCAATGGGGACCAGTGATTGTAGAGCAGAGGAGAGACGGGATCGCAGAGGTGCTTTCTGTGGAATCCTCCCTCCCTCACGCCACCTCACGCCTTCCCCATTGGAGTTGTTTAGGTGAGGCTTGCTTCTCCTCTTCTGGGCTCGCAGAGCAAGAACTTAGATTTGGCAAAGGGAATTTATTATCTCTGGTCCATCCGCCTCACCTGTCCTTGCTGTAGCTCTAAGATCTTCATGCTACCACATCTCTTCCGCCTTGGTCCCCCAGCTAAAGGCATGCACCCCACACCGACCCTCCCTTTGGCTTCTCATGCCCCTGAAGCTACTCAGATCCCCCAGAAACATTCACATGTCTGGCTCAGGCTTCTCGAAGGATCCGTGGGACTCGTCTGCGGCCCTTGCCCTCTGCCTGCCAGAGAGGAAACCCGCCCAGCAGGCCCATCTGTTGGTCGCCTGCCTTTTCCAGCTGCCTGAGGATTGTGGGGGCTTGGGCTGGGGTCTCTGTCCCCCTCCCCGGCCTCCCTCTGGGATGCTGTAATCTCTTGCCTCCACTCCTTTCCTCCACTGGCTCCGCAGGGTCAGAGACCCCCAAGAGCCCCTCATCTTGGCTGACTGAAAGCAGACTCTCCCCCTGCCTGCACCTGGCAGCCTTGCCAAGTCCTGGAGAGCCAGGGCAGGTGAGTTGGGCTTGATCGGTCCTGCCTGGCACTGGGCCCTCATCCACAACTTGTCTGCCCCTTCAGCAGAGCAGCTTTCCTATAGCCAATGCAGGGCTGGCCTGACATCTCAGCTGGGCAGGGGAACAGTGGGAGGTGACCAAGAGTCCCCCTCCCCAAGAGTGCTGCTGAGCTGCGCCTGCTGCCCTAACCCCAGATTCCTGGCTCCAGCCTGGCCTGCCCTGGGGTGGGAAAGACAGTCCCTTCAGTAGCTCTCTAGGTCCCTGTCTTCCTCCAATGCTGTGGTGTGTGTGAGTGGGGTGTGGAGCCACAGCCTTCACACCAACCAGCCAGGTTCCTCCCAGGCCCTGGGAGGGAAGTCTGTGCTCCTGTTCCTTCCGTTGCACATTCCTTTACAGATAAGGGCTTCAGTTGGTAAAAATGATATATGTACTCAGATCACACTAAGAGAGACCCACTTGTATTGGAGTCAAGAGGCTTAATTTTTTGATCAAGTTGTTCTAATAATAAACAAAAAATGCAATCACCAGGTGAGTGGGGCCTTGCAGACACCCTTTCTCTAGCTCCTGCTTCTTGACATATTTCTCTATTCAGAAGTGACTCCAGAAGCTCATCTGGTTCAGTCCCCAGTTTCCAGGTTTAAGGGGCAGATGGGACTGAGACCAGCGAGCCTGCCTGGAGGTTGAGGTGGGAATCTTTTGGTTTTTTCCATCTTTCTGATCCTGTTTATGAAATCAGTGTTTTTATTACACTTGCCCATTGTCACAGAGAATCCGTGGATAGAGGAAAACTGAGAGAGATGTGGATAAAGGGAAACTGAGGCAGAAAGCAATCTTTGTCTAAGCAGAAACAGAGCTACGACCCTATTGTCTGAAGTCCTTCCTTCTGCCTCTGATCCTGAATAATACAGAACCCAGGTACCCCGTAGCTTGGCTAGCATCCTTGCTCAGGGTTATCAAGACCGATTTGGGCAGGAGCTAGAGAAAGGGTTTCTGCAAGGCCCCACTCACCTGATAATTGCATTTTTTGTTTATTATTAGAACAACTTGATTAAAAAATTAAGCCTCTCGACTCCAATACAAGTGGGTCTGTCTTAGTGTGATCTGAGTACCTATATCATTTTTACCAACTGAAGCCCTTATCTGTAAAGGAATGTGCAACGGAAGGAACAGGAGCACAGACTTCCCTCCCAGGGCCTGGGAGGAGCCTGGCTGGTTGGTGTGGGGGCAGTGGCTCCACAACCCACTCACACCCCACTCATCCTGGCATCTCATAGTGGCCCCCAACCCTCTCCAAATGTTATTTCTCTAAATTCACCATATTGGGGGGGGGGCGGGGGATGGGGAGGCCCCAGGGCCCCAGCCAAGCCCTCTTGACACCTAGAGACGTGCCCCTCTCTGGAGTAGACAGCCACAGAGGTGAAAGGTGATCACCAGGCTGGCTGGGTGAGGCCCCACACATGATTCTAAGACCCTGGGCAGTTTCTGGCTCCCTGCAGTCTCTTGTGGGGGACTCTAAAAATGCAGCTTACCCAGACGGTGGCCCTGCTCCCCTTTGGGGGGCAGCCTTCTCCTGGTGGTGGAAGGCCCAGGAGGCTGTGCTGAGCCACCCCATCCTCTCCCGGGCAGGCAGGCTGCGTGGATGGTTAGCAGCTTGTCGCTGGTGTGGATGGAGTTAAACCTTTTCGGGGACTATTTACTCCTGATCCTAAGTGACAGCTTGGGGAGGGAGAGTCACGTGGCCCTGAAATCCCCGGGGGAGCCGATGGAGCATGCCCAGCTGCCTCTGCCTGGGAAAGATGCTGGATCCTGCAGTAACCACAACAGCATCCTCTCCCTGCGCCAGGGACCTGCCAGCCGGAGAGATGACTGATTAGATCAGATTAGATCCGGAGCCCCGCTCTGCAGAAGGGGGCCCCAGGGGCGGGGGAGGAGGACCCCAGCTGGCCTGAGCTGGGGGGAGGGGTGCCTTGGGGCTCGCAGAGTTAGAGCTTTCCAGCGCGGGGATCACACCTCAGAAGCCGGTGAGTCTGTTTTCATGCATCACATAGATGAGGTGGGAGGAGGAAGGCTGGGCTCTGGTCAGGGCTGGCAGCTGCCTGTCTGCCGCGTGAGCCTGGGCTGCTTGCACTGCGGAGCACTGGCTTCCCCATCTCTCATCCTTGGCAGCCTTACTTGGGGATCATGGATGCTGAGAATGCTAATTATAGCCCTCCCTGTGCCCCCACCCCCACCTCCAGAGTCCCCTGTCAGGGCTGATGCTGTTTAAATTGATTACATTTGAATTGCATCTCCTGGATGAAGGCAGCGTTGGGGCTGGCAGCTTCCTAGGGTCCAGCAGGGGTCCCCCACGCAAGCTAGCACAGAGAGGCCAGCCCACCCTCCCTTTAATCTTGCCAGCAGGAAGGAGAGAGGGAGGGGGTCCAGGGTCAGGCTCAGGTCAGCCCCAGGGACTCACCTTCCTCAGCGTGGGGAGGGGTCAGGGTGTGTATCATTCTTATGAGTCAGAGGTTGGGTCGAAGGGTGACAGAGGCTCTTGGATTCCAATTCCTAGGACGCATCTGAGCTCTGGGGGTCTCAGATTTAGTGGGGAGCTCTTGAAGGAGCTGGAGCCTGGTATGTGGTAGAGGAGGGCAGGGAATGAGGGGATGGCATTTATAATGATGGGACCAGGCTGCAGCCAGCTAAGAGCCTCGAGGTATTGTGTGAGGAGTCTGAGGAAAGGAGGACAGTTGGGGGACTGGCCAGAGAAGGGTAAGGAGGGCTACAGTGGAAGGGGAGGGAAGCGGGGCGAGACAGGAAAGTGGCGGGGGTGGGGGAGAAGGGAGAAGAAGGGAGAAGAGGCTCCTGGGAAATGCTCTTTGAGACAACAGGCCAGCCAGGGCAGGGAAGGGGGCTGTGGAGCCTGGGAGAGCAGAGATGGAGAACCGGGATAGAGGGAGAGCCATCCCCGGGGCACAGGGGTGGGGAGGGAGAGCTGCAGGAGGGTGGAAGGTGGTGGGGAGGAGGCTGGAGCTCAGAGCTGGTGTCAGAGGAGGTTGCAGCCTTCAGGGATTGGAGGCTCTTCCCAAAGCCCTGTAGACCCTTTACCCTCAATCTGATCACTTGAGTGGTGCACTCTGCTGAGGGTCTCCTGCATGGTGGGGCAGGGTCCTGGCTGGCAGGTATCTGCCTGAGCCCACTGTCTGGGCAGGTGCGGGGGCACTGCGGGCACTTGCCCTACAAATCTCCCAAATCCTGTTTTCCAGGCCACCCTGGAAGAGTATGAAACTGAGGAGGGCTCCTGTGGCTAGGACGGTTCAGTCGCCAGCTTTCACCCCCGAGCAGCTGCATTTTAGCTTCAGCAGGACATGAGCAGACCCTGCTGGTGGAGGGGAGGTGGGAGCGGCTAGGCTCTGGCCTGTCTCCAGGTTGGGGTGGCAGGAGGGGCTGAAGGCACCCCTCCTGGCACTGCCACTGGGCTTTCCTTATGGAAACAAGCGAGTTTCTGTGTCTTTGCACAAGGGCACAGAGTGCCGAGCCACAGATATGAATTATTAAAAGTCATTGGTTTTCCAATCAGCGGCGAGGTGATAAATGTGTTAGCACTGGTGTGTAATTAATCCTGGCAGGCTGCTGCACACAGGCTGCAGACAATGGGGGTCCCCACCTGCTTTTTTTTTGCTGGGCTAGGCTTCTTTTCCTCCTTCCTAGGAAGGTGATGGTGCAGGACGCCTTACACAGATAATTACTTTGAATGTGTCTGCCTGGATTATTGAGTTGGATTATTTCTGCTTGTAAATGAAATAATTACTGATCCCTCAGTCAGTGAGGGAGGCAGCCACCTTGGCTCCCGGGCTGACATCAGAGCCCCCACCTCGCCCAGACCCAGCCTGCAGCCTCGGGCTCATAGAGCGAGCTCTCTTGGCCCAGGGGACTGGCCTAGGCCAGAGTGAAGAAGCCGCAACAGCAGATGGGAGCGTGGTGTCAACTGGTGCTGAACAGGCTGCGGTTCCGTTCTCCGAGCCAATTTCCTCATCGTCTTCCTCACTGCCTGTTGTGAATTTGATGAGGTCATTGGCACTGGTCTTGGCGCACCCATGGGGCCCCCCAGAGGAAGGTTGGAGCTGTGCCTCACAAAAGAGCTGCAGGATTCGCACTCCCCTGAGCTCTGGGGTGAGGCGAACGGGCTCAGGAAGCCAGGGCTTAATGAGGGGACTTGAGCAGGCCAGTCTCCAAACACTTAAAGCACATTCAGAGAGGAAAAAAAGACTATATTTTGGGAGACATTTAGAGTAACTGGGAGCAGAAGGAAAAGAAGTTGAGGGTAGGCTGAGTGGAAGCCTTCCCTTGACCATCTGTCTGTTCAGGGGGCTCCTGCTCAGCACCTACAACCTTCAGACGCCCCTCAGAGACTATCTAGTCCAGACTCCCTCCACATCCAGATGAGCCTTCCTCAGCCTCCCTGACAGAAGCAGCAGCCTCACTTGGATAATTTCAGTGACAGGGAGCTCATTACCTCACAAGGCAGCTTCCTCTGTGGCTGGAACATTCTTCTATGTTGAATCAAAATCTGCCGACTTCTAAGTTCCACCCTCTGGTTCTGATTCTTTGAAGCTGTGCAGAACAAGTCACCTCTCTCTTTTACGTGGTCATAAAAATAGTTTTCTTTTGATTAAAATAGTATATAATAGTCCGTGTGTGGATGTAATATATTTTACATGATCATTTCTATATTGGACATTTAGGTTGTTACCTTATTTTCCTTTTACAGATAGCACAAGAGGAACATTTTTGTTCATAAGGCTCTTTCTGTGTTTTGGGTGACTTAGGATAAATTCCAAGGCATAGAATTAATGTGATGAAGGGTGTACATTAAAAGAATTACTATTCTGTGAGTGTAAAAGTAATACATTGTCATTTAAAAATGTAGAAAAACCTAAAGCAAAGTTAAGAATTACCCATAGGTTTGATATATAATTTTAATTTTGGTATACTTGTACTTTTATGAATTCATGCATGAGTGTATGTCTAGATTATCACAATACATATATATCATTAAAATTTTGGCCCAGATGTGTATTATTGTCACTTAAACAGAAAGCATTTTTTCATATTATTAAATATTCTTTAACAGCATTATTATTATTATTAATATTATTATTATTATTTGAGACAGGGCCTTGTTCTGTTGTCCAGGCTGGAGTGCTGTGGTACAATCTCTGCTCACTGCAGTCTCAACCTCCTAGGCTCAAGCGATCCTCCTACCTCAGCCTCCCAAGTGGCTGGGTCTACAGGTGCATGTCACCATACCTGGCTAATTTTATGTATTTTTGATAGAGTTGGCCACGTTGGCCAGGCTGGTCTTGAACTCCTGTGCTCAAGTGATCCACCCACGTCGGCCTCCCAAAGTGCTGGGATTACAGGCGTGAACCACCACACCTGGCCTTTACAGCATCATTTTAAAGTGGCTGTCTCATATTTCATTATATACCTTTTCAATTTATTTGTTGATTTGGCCCCTATGTTAAACTAGGTATTTCCAATTTTCTACTTTTATAAACAAGGCTACAATGAACATATAAATATCTGAATCTTCACACATATCAATACTTTTTTCCCTTAGGTTGCATTTCTAGAAGTGAAATGGCTACATTATTAAAATATTTTGCCAAATACCTCGTTCAAAAGCACTAATTTACATTCCTCGCAGCTGTGTCTGAGAATGGATTTTTTTTGTGTGTGTGTGTGTGTGTGTGTGTGTGCCATGAGCATCAACATTGAGTATTACAACTTTTTCATGGTTTTCATTTATTGCTTCGATCCATCTGTTTGACTGGGAGTGAGACAATTTTTAAAAAGAGACTTATCAAATGTGACATTGTCCATATTAATAACAATGCAATATATAATATGTCCATGTAATAAACATATTTGTGTGTTCGAGTCTTTGGCTTTTCTTAAAAGGCAGTGTGTGCAGAGTCATTAAGATCACAGTTGGCCAGGAATAGTGGCTCATGCCTGTAATCCCAGCACTTTGGGAGGCCGAAGCGGGTGGATTACTTGAAGCCAGAAGTTTGAGACCAGCCTGGTCAACATGGTGAAACCCCATCTCTGTTAAAAATATAAAAATTAGCTAAGTGTGGTGCTGGCTTCCTGTAATCCCACGTACCTGGGAGGCTGAGGCAGGAGAATCCATTGAACCCAGGAGGCGGAGGTTGCAGTGAGCCGAGATCGTGCCACTGTACTCCAGCCTGGGTGACAGAACAAGACTCTGTCTCAAAACAAACAAACAAACAAACAAAACGTAGTTATGGGGTCAAACTCAGGTTGAATCTGGAATCTACCATTTACCAGTGATATGATGCTAACAGTGGCTTTACTTCTCTGTGCCTCAGTTTCTCCATTTGTAAAATGAAGATAATGCTACCTATCTCATAAGCTTCTTGTGAAGATAAATGAGGTTACATATGCAAGCACATAGAATCCTGCTGAGCAGAATAAGTGATAAATGTGTTTGTTATTATTACCTTGTTGATTTGCATGAGAAACATAGATATCTGAAGACAGGTATAATCGTCTCTCTCCCTCCAAGCCCTCCCAAGTCTCCTTGTTCAAGACTAAGTGCCCCTGTTCCTCCAAAGACCCTCAAGTTCTTTCTTGAGCTTTCCTGGAGCCCCCACATGAACTGTGGCCTTACTGGCACAGAATGTGGTGAGGTGGCCACACACATGCCCAGGGCAGCCACTTCCTCCAGGAGAATCCCCTGGAATGGCACACTTGCTGGGGGCTTCTTCTGGCAGGTGCATGGCTTATAGGATACTCCACTGGGGCTGGTACTCCTGCAGCCCCTGTCCGCGCCCCTGCACGGCCGTGTGCACATCCTGTCTTGATTTCTCCCTTGTCAAATCTTCCCAGCATTTCTCATTCCCATGAGACCTCTTTGCACTTTCTAAAGTAGCGCAAGCTTATCTGATAAACTAATTATGATCCGTATGTTAGCTCCTGCTGTGGTCATGGAGAGAAGGCTCATCTGGAATTTGAAGACATGGGTTCAAATCCTGACCCAAGTAGTAGCCATATGATTTGTGGAAGTTACTTAATCCTTCTGAGCTTTCACTTCCTAGCCTGAGAACTGGGGTTAGTATCACTACCACCTACCTAGCTGATACCTAGGTGAGTAATGTACATGGAAGTGCTTTGTAAACTGAGAATAATCACACAAATGTCAGTTACTGAACATCATATTTCGGAAGGCAAGGCTTTAACTCAAAGACCAGATGGGTGCTGAGGTGGATTGGTGGGAAATGTTTTTAGGGTAGCTGGTATTCAGGGATACTGTCAAGTCCTCCCAGGTCACCCACTTAGTCTCTGTAAAGGATTGGTCCTCACCGTGTGAATTCAGGAAATAGAGCTGGAGCTGCCAGTGCTGATCTGATAAACATGCATCAGTGCTGAGGCTTCATGGTAGCTGGTCCACCCTGGTTTCAGCTATGTCTTCCTCGGGTTAGTCGGAGCTCCACTTCTGCAGTGAGGTGGCCTAGGGCCCTCTTTAAGGAGGAGGTGAGGTCCCTCCTTAGCTCTGACATCATTGTGTCCCCCCAGTCTGGCTCATCATGATCTGAGAAGAACAGGCATCTATAATTGCAGGTGCCAATTTGCTTTTAATTAGACAAATTCTTGCAATTAGCCTCTTAAATTCTACCTAGCCTCAGGTGGTGCGGTCATTGTTCTGGTTTTGCTTGGTTCCTGGGACCACATGAGCAGCAGTGGGCTATCCAGGGACTGGATCCAGGCTATCCAGCAATCCTGCTAACCTCACTTGAAACTGGGGCTGTCTCACTGGGGAATTGAAGGGGATCGGAGCAGGGAAGAAAAACCTGCTTTGGTGGGGTGGTGCGGGTGGGAGTATGGTGATAGAGGCGTAGTGCTGAGACCTGTTTGAATGACAAGTGAGGTCTAGAACCCAGGTTTCCTCCTCCTAACCCAATGCTTTTCCCCTTCTGAGCCTCAGTATCCTCATCTCTAAAATGGGAATAATAGTTCCCACCCTGCCCTTATCACCAAGGATCAAATGAGTTAGGTGTAGGAAGTAGGTGTGAATATAAAGCAATGCGACCTGAAAGTCCATGATCACATCAAATGTGAAAGCTCTTTAAAGTTCTCCATATGCTCCCGGTGGCCCTGGCCACTGCTTCTTGGACTCTGACCTTCTCAGTCACTTCTCTGCTGTCCAGTAATTCCTGACTCCATTGTCTTCTAATCCTGCCAACTCTCCCCACAACTATGAGTGATTACAGGGCAGTACTTAGCACATAGTAGGTGCTCAACAAATGTTGGTTGGATATATGAAGCTTTGGATGGGAGGGTTAGGCCCCAAGGAGCAGGCACAGAGAAACACTCATGAGAAAGCCTTGGGTGAGGGCAGTGGTGGGGAATTTATTCCCTGTTCTCCTCAGCCTTGCCTCTCACTCCACTGTACTTCTTCAAGGCAAGAGATGGCCTGATTTGTCTTATTTGTATCTGTGATGTTTCACGCAGAGCCAGTCACAAAATGGTTGGTAACTGCTTTTTGATTGGCTGAGTGAATGAGACAGGGTGATGTGGTAGAGACAGCATGGAATTAAGTGGTGGGTAGAACTTGGGAGCCTGGCCCTACCATTTGCTTTGGGTACATACTTACTGCATGCTCCTTATGTACCAGGCAGGTACTAGGTTGCAAAAATGAATTTTTATTTTGATTTATTTATTTTTGAGATGGGGCCTCACTCTGTCCCCCAGGCTGGAATGCAGTGGCATGATCATAGCTCACTGTAGTCTCCACCTCCTAGGCTCATGCAGTCCTCCCACCTCAGCCTCCTGAGTAGCTGGGACCACAGGCATGCACCACCACACCTGGCTGATTATTTTATTTTTTGTAGAGACAGAGTCTCACTTTGTTGCCCAGGCTAGTCTTAAACTCCTGGGCTCAAGTGATCCTCCTGCCTCGGCCTCCCAAAGTATTGGGACTACAGGCGTGAGCCACTGTGACCGGTCAAAAAAAAATTTTTAAACTCACGCTCTTGTAAGGGAGCAGATGAGTGAGCAAACGACCATGCTGTATATGATACAGACATATGCTACATATGTTGGTGGCCAAAAAAGAAAAGGATAGACTCTCCTAGGAGGTTCCCCAAGGCAGAAACCTTAAGCCGGGTCTCAGCTTGGGAAAATTACTTAACCTCTCTGGGTCTCTGTTTCCTAAGCTATCCTGTTAGGAGACTGAAGTCTCCGCAGCGGCAAGGAGTAAATGAAATAAAATAATATGAAGAAAACATGTGGCACTGGATAGTCTTTTTTTCTTTTTTCTTTTCTTTTTTTTTTTGAGACGGAGTCTCGCTCTGTGGCCCAGGCTGGAGTGCAGTGGTGCGATCTTGGCTCACTGCAACCTCTGCCTCCCAGGTTCAAGCAATTCTCCTGCCTCAGCCTCCTGAGTAGCTGGGATTACAAGGCATGCGCCACCATGCCGGGCTAATTTTGGTATTTTTAGTAGAGATGGGGTTTCACCATGTTGGCCAGGCTGGTCTCAAATTCCTGGCCTCAAGTGATCTGTCTGCCTTGGCCTCCGGAAGTGCTGGGGTTACAGGTGTGAGCCACCACACCTGGCCTAAATAATCTTTTTTTTTGAGACAAAGTCTCACTCTGTCACCCAGGCTGGAGTGCAGTGGCGAGATCTCGGCTCACTGCAACCTCCGCCTGCCAGGTTCAAACGATTCTCTTGCCTCAGCCTCCTGAGTAGTTGGGATTACAGACATGCACCACCACGCCTGGCTAATTTTTGTATTTTTAGTAGAGATGAGTTTTTACCATGTTGGGCATGGTGAAACTTAATAACTTAATAAAAGTTAAAAATGTCACCTTGAAACCAGGCCTGGGATTGGTTGGTGGGAGGAGCTTGGGGAGGGCAGGAGCTGAAGGAATTCCAGGAAGCTGGTCCCTACACAGCCTCACCCTGTCTCTGCTGGTTAGTACCTGTGCAGCCTTGAGTAAGTCCCTCACCTTCTCTAAGTCTCAGGCACTCTATCTGCGAAGTGAGGATAATATGATTGTTGTATGGCTCAATTGAGAAACTTCACACAAGTCACCTACAACATGCTAGGCACATAGTAAGTACTAGAAAATATTAGCTCTTCCTTATGATTTTTACCACCATATTTCACAGAGAGACCACATCTGCACGCTGACACACGCATGTTGCATATGTGTGGACTCCTGGATATGCTCAGGAAGGGCGGAGGGTGAGAGGGCCTGGGGTTAGGCTGAATGACAGCTGGCTGCTGCTCAGCCTGAGAAGCCTTCCTGGAGGTGAGGCGACCGGAACTCTGTAGAGAAGGTGGGAGGGGTCGGGTTCGGCTTGGGTGATGGAACTGGGGAGGACGGCTTGTGGTTCATGCCCAAGTTGGGGGAGCCTGCTTCATGGGAAACATGTCAAAGGGAAAGGTGGCCCCTGACAGCAGGAACTTAGTTATCTCAGGCACGTAGGCCACCTCCCCCCCGCCACACCCCACTCCCCCTGCCTGGGCCAGTCCTGCCAGCAGCATCCCAGCTGCTCGGTAGCCCGGCTGGTCCCCTGACCTTCCTAAGCAAGGCAGCCTGGCGGCCATGCTGGGTTGCCGTGGTAACTGGCGGCCTCCCAGCTGGGTTGCCCGGGTAACCGGTTAGCTGGCGTTCGGAGAGGAGGGTGGTGAGCTGGGGGAAGTCAGCCTCAAAAGAGGCAGAGAAGGACAAGGGCTGGACAAGGAGGAAGACAGATCCCAGATGCCCCCAGCACAGCCCTCTCCTCTCTCCCTCGTGGGACTGGGAAAGCCAGAAAAAGGCAGGTAGGAAAGAATGTTGTGCTGTTTCCGACCCTTTGTGTGTATGTTTTGCAGTGTGAGTCGTCTTGGCCTTCATGGGACGTTTAGGGGATTTGACAGGGCGGCTCAGGAGCTAACCCTGGCAGTGATAAAACCAGGGGCCATCCAAACCAAGACGTCAGTCCTGGTCCTCCCCCCGCCCCCATCTCCCAGACAATTTTACCTCTTTGAGCTTTGATTTCTTCATCTGTAAAATGGAGAGAACTTGGACCTCCAGAGCACACGTTTGGGAGCAGTGCCTGGCACCGTCAGCGGTGGGTTCCTTCCTCTCCTTCCATAGTGATTTTTGATTTGGTGGCTGCTTTCCAGCCTGTGAAGAGCTTGCACTAGAGGCCAACCCTGCTCTGAGCCCAGCCCTGCGGAGGGGATGGTGGTGGGATGGTTGGAATTCTTGACAAATTAGAGACATGGCTCTTACCTCAAGGAGTTTACCAGCTCACTCTGCTGAGGGCAGAACACAAGTTACACAGGTTGGAACATCTGCAAGAGCAAGAAAGGTTTTTTTATTTTTGTTTTTGTTTTTGAGACACGGTCTTACTCTGTCACCCATGCTGGAGTGTCCTGGTGACATCATAGCTCATTGCAGCCTTGACCTCCCTGGCTCAAGCCATCCTCCCACCTCAGCCTCCCAAGGAGCTGGGACTACACGTGCTTGCCACTGTGCCCAGCTAATTTTTGTATTTTTTGGTAGAGACGGTTTCACCATGTTGTCCAGGCTGGTCTTGAACTTCTGGGCTCAAGTGAGCCATCTGCCTCAGCTTCCCAAAGTGCTGGGATTACAGACATGAACCACTGCGCCTGGCCAGAATGTTTTAAAAGGAAGACATCGAAATTTTTGACTGCAACCAGTAGAAATACATTCCAGGAGCACATGCGTGTTACCCTTACTGTAAGTGGTGCATGTCATATTGCAGTCTTGTCTGGCCTATACATATTTATTTTTAAAGATAGTCTTCACCCTTCAACTTGCTTTCGCACTCACAGATGAGTCACTTCTTTCAGTGAAACACTGAGACAGCATGCGCACTAAGGCTCTTCAGGTATGTATAGGCCCTCCCCCACTGCTCTCACCTTCCAGGTGCCATCACCTGGGGCATCCTCGCCACTCTGATCTATGAAGTCAACGAGACTGAGAAGTCTCATGACTTGCCTAGGGCCAGAAGCAGCAAGTCCTGGAGCCAAGGCTCGAGCTGGGTCTCTGTTGCTCAGGTCCACAGCCCACCCTAACGCCTGCTGAATCTGCTGCCCAGTTTTATTCCTGCTGTGAGGAGAACTCAAGGATTCTTTTTTTTTTTTTTTTTTTGAGATGGAGTCCTGCTCTGTTGCCCAGGCTGGAGCGCAGTGGCGTGATCTTGGCTCACTGCAACCTCTGGCTCCTGGGTTCAAGTGATTCTCCTGCCTCAGCCTCCCAAGTAGCTGGGATTACAGGCACACACCACCATGCCCAGCTAAATTTTTTGTACTTTTAGTAGAGACGGGGTTTCGCCATATTGGCCAGGCTGGTCTCGAACTCCTGACCTCAAGTGATCCGCCCGCCTCGGCCTCCCAAAGTGCTGGGATTATAGGCGTGAGCCACCGCACCCGGCCAAGAACTCAAGGATTCTTATAGGGAGAGAAAGAGAGATCTCAAGATCCAAACAGATCCCAGGTGTCTGTCCTGGCCCCCTTAAAATTGAGGGCCTGGAGCCAGGCCCGGAACTCAGGCTCCTCTTGTCTGCTGTCTCAGGGACTGCAGAGGCTGGGACTGAGGAGAGCTGTGAAAAGAGAAGGCCAAGCTTGAAGCAGTCTGGGTGTTCCCTCCGTGTCTGAGGGGAGTCAGCCGGGAAGGATGGGTGGGGCTAGCTGCGTGGGCTGAAGCTAACCCCTCCCGACAAGCTGTTCTGGTTGCCAAGCAACTGGACCTCACTGTGAGGGCAGACTTGGTGTCAGGGGCCCAGGCCATGCCTAGAGGCCTCAGGCTTCTGGGAGGTTTTTTGACAGGAAAGCCTTAAACCAGTCCCCAGAGAAGCCCGTTTCTCATTGTCTATCTCCCATCTGACAATGGAGATGACAGTCAGCAGGATGTCTGCCAAGTGTGGCCTTGAGCACAGGCTAAGGTCAGCAGGGTGGGGGAGATGGCGGGGGGGGGGTTTGGCACCTGGGGGCTGAGTTGGGAGTGCCTGAAGCAAGAGGGGCGCGAGTGGCTGTGGAATACCCAGGCCAAATGCTGACCCTATAAATATTTATTGTGATAAAATAAAGATAAGGCCTGGAATGAGAAGCAGGAGCGAATGAAGGAATCCACACTGCTCGGTTCCATTTTCAGCCATGCTGTGTGAATTCAGCCTGTGTGTCCATCTCTCAGGACCGGGTTGGTTTGTGTGGGGTTCACTAGCTGGTACCATTCCTTCCCTTCCCAAATGGACTTTGCTCTTTGCAAACAGAAGAACGGGCAAGGCATTTATGGCTGGGAGACATTTCCTTGCTGTTTGGGCGTATTCTCTTTTCAGCTTCAAGCTGCCCAACCTGCCCTGTGTTGAAGGGAGGGCTGAAGGGTGGCTGATGGCTGAATTAGGGCCCGTGGCTTGAGGAGAAGGTTGCAGAGGGTCAAGAAGCTTCAGCTCTAGCCATGTCCTGGTCTCTCTAGGTTTCTTGTTAATTTACTCAGCACCCACTGCTTTAAGCAGCATTTCCAACTGTAAAAATGAGAGCAGTCAGAAGGTATCTTGTCCAGGCTCTTGATTTGTTATTTACGGCTCTTGGTGCCTCTGTAACATGTGGTGTTACAGGCCAGGGTGGTGGGTGTGTGCGACTAGGAATTCCGCTGAAATTCAAGTTGGATGTACGTTTCTAGCTCCAGCTGGGTGAGTAGAGGCTGGGGAGATGGTGGGTTTCTGATAAGGAGAATCGGTACTTCAGGATGGTACCAGCTGGCAAGGAGAGCATGCCCAGTGCTTCAAGAAGAGCTGATTTACACTGTGAAATTGGATGAGTATCTTTCTTATAGGAACCCCTAATCTCTGCATCCATATACTCTGCCATCTACCCACTCAATATACTCTATTCTCCCAGCTTGTCCAGGGTGACCTTTTGTTGCGGGAAGTCAGGGACCCAAAACGGAGGGACCGACTGAAGCCATGGCAGAAGAACGTGGTTTGTGAAGATTTCATGGACATTTATTAGTTCCCCAAATTAATACTTTTATAATTTCTTATGCCTGTCTTTACTGCAATCTCTAAACATAAATTGTGAAGATTTCATGGACACTTATCGCTTCCCCAATCAATACCCTTGTGATTTCCTATGCCTGTCTTTACTTTAATCTCTTAATCCTGTCATCTCGTAAGCCGAGGAGGATGTATGTCACCTCAGGACCCAGTGATAATTGCGTTAACTGCACAAATTGTAGAGCATGTGTGTTTAAACAATATGAAATCTGGGCACCTTGAAAAAAGAACAGGATAACAGCAGTGTTTAGGGAACAAGAGAGATCACCTTAAACTCTGACAGCCAGTGAGCCAGGCAGAACAGAGCCATATTTCTCTTCTTTCAAAAGCAAATGGGAGCCTTTCGGCCATAACTGCCATCTTCCAGTAATTCGCCAAAATGACGAATACAAAGGGAAAGAGGAGAGGCACCCGATGTATGTTCTCTAGGCCTTTTAGAAAACATGGAGTTGTTCCTTTGGCCACGTATATGCGAGTCTATAAGAAAGGTGATATTGTAGACATCAAGGGAATGGGTACTGTTCAAAAAGGAATGCCCCACACGCGTTACCACGGCAAAACTGGAAGAGTCTACAATGTTACCCAGCATGCTGTTGGCATTGTTGTAAACAAACAAGTTAAAGGCAAGATTCTTGCCAAGAGAATTAATGTGCGTATTGAGCACATTAAGCACTCTAAGAGCCGAGATAGCTTCCTGAAACGTGTGAAGGAAAATGATCAGAAAAAGAAAGAAGCCAAAGAGAAAGTTACCTGGATTCAACTAAAGCGCCAGCCTGCTCCACCCAGAGAAGCACACTTTGTGAGAACCAATGGGAAGGAGCCTGAGCTGCTGGAACCTATTCCCTATGAATTCATGGCATAATAGGTGTTAAAAAAAAAAAAAGCAAATGGGAGAAATATCGCTGAATTCTTTTTCTCAGCAAGGAACATCCCTGGGAAAGAGAATACAAAGAGTCTGTTTCTGAGGTGATGGGTCACTTACCCATGGCCACATTGGGAAGTGAGGGAGGAATCAGAATTAGAATTTATGGATGTTTCCATGTTTCCTGCCGAGCCATCTTCTTGCCCCTCGTGTGACCCAACTGTGAGTGTGGGTGTGTATTAACCAGTAAGAGAAATGGAGGTGTGGGGGATGTGGTTATTTATTTGACTCCACTTTGTCATGGCTTCCCCTGTGGTCATGGCTCATTTGTGGTGGCTCAGAGCTGCCCGGCTGGCCACCCTCAGGTGCCCAGACCCGTGTTCTGGAAGAGGCAGGTGGTAGATGCTGCCTCCTCTAGGGGGGTGAGAGTGAGAGTGTTTGCTGCTCTCATGTTCCCATGCATACAGAGAGGGCCTGTCAGCTGCTCTAGGTATAATCGAGGGGGCTGTCAGACAGTGCAGAAATCTAGTCACAAAGCAGCTGAGGCAGGGCTTAGAGGCAGAGCTAGGGTGGAGGGAGAATCAGAGACCACACCCAGTGCCAGTAGTCTTCCTTGCTCCCTGCTGCCCACTTGTGATTGAGGAGGGGGCTATCCAATGGGGCAGCAGCTCCTCTAGGAGCCATAGCTTCCCTTTGCAGAACAGGCCTTCTCTGAATCCAGAAACCAAGTGTCCCCACTTAAAGCCAGCTTAACCATCTGGTGGTGGCTAGCAGGGTGAGCTTCGCTCATTCTCTTCTTTTCTCTGTACTCCTCTCCACACCTTTCTGCTCTTCCTTGCTATCCCTGTAACAGGGGTCACTTTTCTTGTGTGTGTTCAGATGTGAGTGTGGAGAGCGACTGGGAAGTTGGGTGAGCTGATTTTCTCCAGGGCTTCTGGTCTCTTACCATTAAGGTCAAGTGACTCAGCAGAGAAAGGAGGGTTTGCTCCAGTGGCTTTGCTGGGGGGAACCTGCTCTGGGGTCAGGGGGAGCAGAACATAGTGTGGGGGAAGAGGGGACAGGAGGAGTCATTGTTGGCCCTGCTGTTCTTTCAGGGAAATGCTTGAGTGCCTCCTCCACCAGCTCTCTAGTACTTGTGCTGTGGGTGAGGCTGAACCCAGGTCACAGTGCACGTGGGCGCTGGGGGAGGGTAACGGGGAGATCCTGTGACATCTGCCTCATGGTGGCACCCAGACCTGAGGGGGGCGGGAAGAAGAGAACCTGAGACCTCTGGAAGAGTGGCACAGCAGAGATGGGGAGTGTGGAGAGGGTTCTCAGTGGAAAGAAACCTCGAAGGGAGTGGGGCCAGGGGGCTGAGCAAAGAAGCCTGGGTTGGCAGGCATAGGGGAAGCTCAGGCACCTTCTGATGGGCTGTGTGTGGTCAAGCTGTCCTGGCCTCCTTGTTAGGAAAGTCTGCAGGGAGGGGGTAGAGTGGTAAGCATGGAGACAGAGAGTGTCTAGACCTCAGGAAGGACTTTTTTGTATCAAAATAGAAAGCATCCCAATCGGGCCCAGTGTCTTCCAGATTTGGTGTTGTCAGAACCAAGGCCAAAGTCATCAACACTTATACTTATTAAGTTATATTTTTAAAAGTGTCCTTTAATTGGCTGAATCAGCCAGTTGGAAATACAAGTTGTTCTGAAATGTTCCATCCACATATGTCTTTCTCGCCGATAAATGTGTATCTCCCCACAGCAATTAACACAATATCTTGAAAGAGTTGGTGCTCGGTAAGTCGCTTTCCCCACCTTCTCCAGGCATTATGCTTGGGGCAGGGGTGACATACAGGGAATGAGGTGCGGGAACTCTGGTTATGATGGAACTCTTACACCCACATTTTTTCCTGGGTTAGATTTCAGCTTGTTTCTCCACCTTCTGGCTCAGAGCCAGGATCCCTGCTTCCCAGTCACTGGCTGAAGGATTGGCAGGATGGGGCTGGATCACATCTCATCTGTCCTTTTCTGCTTTCCTCCTTGGAGATGTTGCTTTGTCACTCACTTCTGGGGCACCCTGATAATATGGATGAGGTACTGGTCTGCAGTATAATTAATTTGGGTTAGAAAACACTGAACATCTTTTATACTTTTTATAATTGACTCTATATATTTTTAAATATTTCTTTTTTTTTTTTTTTTTTGAGATGGAGTCTCACTCTGTCACCCAGGCTGGAATGCAGTGGCACAATCTCGGCTGACTGCAACCTCTGCCTCCCGGGTTCAAGCAATTCTCCTGCCTCAGCCTCTGGAGCAGCTGGGATTACAGGTGTACTCCACCACGTCCAGCTTATTTTTGTATTTTTAGTAGAGACGGGGTTTCACCATGTTGGCCAGGCTAGTCTTCAACTCCTGAGCTCAAATGATCCACCTGCCTAGGCCTCCCAAAGTGCTAGGATTACAGGCGTGAGCCACCAAGCCTGGCCTTAAATGTTTGTTTTTGAGAAGGAGCGGGCTATTTTCAGCCGGCTTAGAGGAGTTTATCACTCCCACAAGAACCTCAGGAGAGAACAGGTCAGGGAAGAGCGAGGTGTCAGCAGCAACAGCTCATTTACATATTTTCTGCAACTCTTCCCTTGGCTCAAATTGCAGGCATCCTGGCCAAGTTTCTTTATTTTTTCGAGATAGGGTCTTGCTGCGTTGCCCAGGCTGGTCTCAAACTCCTGGGCTTAAGCTATCCTCCTGCCTCATACTCCTGAGTAGCTGGGATTATAGGCACGCACCACTGAGCCTGGTTCTGGCCAAGTTTTAGTCTGGGCATTACTGTCACTTTCTCTCCATCACACACACCAAAATCAGGGGCAAGTCTGGGCTTAATGTAGCTCATTATAGACGCTGTGCTCCTGGTGTCAGAGTCTATTTTTCCAGATGGAATGACCAGGATAGGGGAGGGACTGAGAATCTCAGCCTTGAAAGTAATCTTTCACTTGGTCAGCTTTTCTCCCATATAGCAGGTGCCTTTCTAGTGTCTCGGGCACATGGTCAGGCCAGCCACTGCTTGAAAGCCCCCAGTGACTAGGAGCACTGCCCTGTGAAGTAGTTTTTTCTATTGTTATAGACAGTTTCAACTTGTATCATTCCTTAATGTTGAGCTTAAGTTTCCTTCTAACTTCCACACGGTGGTACCAGTTCAACATCCTGGCCATCCTTTTCTGGGCTCACTTGTTTATCATTGTTTCAAGAGTCAGGCAAGTATGGGGAGAGCGTATAACCCAGTGGGGAAGATACAGGGTCTGTCATATGCCTGCCTGGGTTTGCACTTGGCTTCCCACTCACCAGCTGTGTGACCCCGGTTATAATCCTTAACCTCTCTGAGCCTTGGTTTAGTCATCTGTAAAATGTGAGTGATGATGGTACTTACCTCATAGAGTTGTTGAGAGGGTTAAATACATTAATACATGTAAAAAGCTTGGAACAGTGCCTGGCAACCAAAGGCAATTCAGTACATGGTAGCTTTTAATCTCTCTTGAAATAAATTGTCTGGAATTGAACACAATACTCTAGACATTGTCTGTTCCATGGGACCCTGATGCCCTCCAACTTGATGATATATTTCTATTATGTCAGACTAAATTTGCAAATCACTGGTGTTTAAATTGAGCTCATTGTACTGAAGCCCTCAGGTTATTTTCCCACGGACAGCTGTCAGGCTTAGATCTCCCCTTTGCTGCATAAAAGATGTGATCTGAGTTAGAGGGAAGGTCAGGGTCAAGGGGAGCCCAAAGCCTCCCCTCACATTGGTTCCAAACACACATGAACTCTCACTGATGCAGTCGCGTCCTTTTTATAATGCTGTTCTGCGATCTGGCGTTCTATTTGGAAAATCTCTTGACCCACACGGGGCTAAAATAAAATTCCCTCCCCATGGGTCTTTTCTTTCTTTCAGTGGGTCTCTTTTATTCTTCTTTGCTCATTCATTGCATTTGCTTATCAGGTGAGCTGAGCACTTACTGTTGGGAACTTCCTTACCTCCAACTCTAGCTCCTCTGCTTCTCCAAGTTCCCAGGCTATAGGGGAAAAGACACAGATGCCCACAGCATAATCAGAGTGACTGTTTTCACAGACAAACCTCTGGGGCTCTCTAAATCCTTGGTCTTCATGGTCCACTAGCATCTGTATCATCAGGGAGCTTGCTGGAAATGCAGAATCTCAGGCCTCACCCCAACATGCTGAATCAGAATCTATGTTTTAACAAGGCCCTCCAGGTGATTCATATGCACATTAAAAGCGGAGAAGCCTTGCTCTAAGTCATTCAATGTGGAGTAGGAATGCGGAAAGCAAGAAGCCTATCTTTCAAGGCCTTGATATTAGTCCTACTGACCAGGTTCCTGGGGACATAAAGCTATTTCTGTACTATTTGATCACAAGCTATTTCTTGGAATGCTCATAATAAAGGTTTTTTTGTTTGTTTGTTTGTTTTTGCTATGTTGCCCAGGCTGGTCTTGAACTCCTAGAACAATTCTCCCGCCTCAGCCTCCCGAATAGCTGGGACTACAAGCGTGCACCACTGTGCTCAGCTCATAATGTTTTTATAAAATACTCATTTTCTTTTCTTTTTTGAGACAGAGTTTCATTCTGTTGCCCAGGAGGGAGTGCAGTGGCACAATCTTGGCTCACTGCAACCTCTGCCTCCCAGGCTCAAGCGATCCTCCTGCCTCAGCCTCCCGAGTAGCTGGGATGACAGGCATGTGCCACCACACACGGTTAATTTTGTATTTTTAATAGAGATGGGGTTTCACCATGTTGGCCAGCCTGCTCTTGATTCCTGACATCAAATGATCTGCCCGCCTCAGCCTTTCAAAGTGCTGGGATTACAAGCATGAGCCACTGCACCCGGCCACTCATGCATTTAAAAAAATATAGATTGTACTTATGTTTTCCCCATTTTATTAGTAACATACTCTTGAGCTCATGTATTTCAAACCACTGGATATGTACAGTTGGAATCTTAAAGTTTAAATGTTTGGTTTTATGTTTCTGATCTACTTTTTTTGGTTAATATTAGGCTATGATTCCAGTATATGGAATCCTCATTCTGCCATCACTGTGTTAGTCATCCCTCCCAGCTTTGTCAGTAGCAAATCTGATAACCATGCCTTCTAAGTCTTTATGCAAATCATGGATGAAAATGTAGACCACAGCAGGATCAAGAACAGATCCCTGTGGTGCACCCTTAGAAGCTCATTCATTTATTTAGCCAGCAATGTTGACTTCCAGAGCTCCATCCCTGCAATCAGATGAACTGGTTATAGCTCCTCCCCTGTTCCCTGCTGACCTTTGGCAAGGTATTACTGCACCAGACTCCCAGTTCTTTATCTGTAGCCAAGGAAGTTGGAGTAGTCACCAGTATCCTCTGGGGGGTGCTTTAAAGAAATGCATGTTCCTGGGCCCCTACCCTTTCCCCCACAGATCCTGGTTCAGTTGGTCTCTGGTGGGTACCCAACACCAGTATTTTGAAAAAGCCCTCAAAGCAGAGAGCAAAAAGTTCTCTGGGTAATTCTAGTGCGAAGCCAGGATTGAGAACCACTGGGCCAGATAATCTCTAACAACCATGATCTGCCTTCCTGATCCAAGAGGATTCCTGGGGGCCTGGTACACATCTTCTGGGGCTTCTTGTCCTATGGCCTGAGCCCTGCTGGCTGCAGACCACGGTAGGAGAGGGGGCCTAGCTGGCTGGTAGAGCACCGTGGCCAGGCACCGGGTGTGCTGTACAGGACTATAAAGCACCCCAGTCTTCCCCACATCCCTGGGAGAAGAGTTGGGATGCCTCCTATCAGCTGCTCGCTCTCCTGCCCATCTTCTCTGGACAAAAGAATCATCTCTGACTTCTCTGAAGTTAGCTCCTTCTCTGTGTTTCTGAGTTTGCTGCTTAACAAAAATAGCCAAAGGCCAGTGTAAGTCTGTTTCGGGGATCAGCACCCTGTCTGATTCCTCTCTTTGTCTTCTGTTTCTTTCCTCCCATAACTCTGGAGGCAACAGCACCTCTGAGGCCTTCTCTTGCATCTCTTTCTCTCTATAGACTCCCACAGGCTGAGGACTGCACCATTCCAGAGCCATAGCAGCTCCCAGGAATGTTGCTGGCCAACGAGTGAACACAAAAAGACCTCTCTGACATGGCCCTGGGGGTCAGGGTACCTACTTGCCCAGCTTGGCTCATTTGAGGCAAGACCAGCTTCTACCTTGGGGCTCAGGTTGTTGCTTTGAGCATCGCTTGCCTGGTTCTGGGATATGAGCGTGTCCAGGATGTGTGGTCTCATCTTCTCCCTGCCTCTCCGCAGTTGTGCTGGTACGGGAGTGTCTCTGCAGTGGGCCTGTTAATTGGTGCTTCAGCTGGCTGATTGACTCTAATGCGGGTGAACATTTATTTACCCCAGCAGCCGCCTCTCAGACAGCCGTTAATTGCAGGCACGAGAGAGACAATAATTACGGGATAATGGGTGGCTTTTGTGTGAGTCCTTCTCTTTGCACTGTGTCAGCAAACACAGAGGGTTTGTTTTCTAACATTCAGCTACCCTGCTGGGGAATAACACACCCCCCTCCCACTCACTCCATCCCTGTCATCCAGTCCACCCTTCCCTTTCCCTGTCCTGGGTGACAGAACATGTTCCAATTTTCCAAAATATTGTCTCCTTCCAATTCTCATGCGGTCATGACCCCATTTTTTTGATTTGTGAGGTCTAACTTGTACTTTTAAAAAAGTAATGCTTAATTAACTTTGCCTAAAAATGGGTAAGCAAATGTTAAAGGATATGCCTATTCCATGTGCCTCCTGATCTTTGTTAATATAGTTTATATAGTTGTAATTAGTTTATACAGTTAATATAGTTTATATAGTTGTAATCCTGTGTTTATATAGTTGTAATTGATGTGTAGCTAGTGTCTTGTGTCATGAATTTCTTTTTTGTTTAATATTATTTTATACAAACACTCCCAGGTATGATAATGATCTATAAATTTGTCATTTTAAATAGCTATAAGTAATTCTGTCATGTTGCTCCATTACTGGATTGCTTTTCTCTTATTACTGAGAATTTGGGTTGTTTCCAATTTGTTGCTATTATGAATAGCTCTGCTATAAATGTCTTTACATGTACTGATTTTCCCCCTAGTTATTTCCCTGGGGGTTCATTGAATTATGAAGTTATATTGATCTGGGATCCTGTTGGGAAGAATGGAGGGGCTTGGGGAGCTGGAGGCTACTGGGAAAGTTTAACTGATTCCCTCCTCTCCCTCTCCCAGCACACAATTCCTCTTCTTCTCACCTCTTTTCACATCCATTTTGAGTATGATCCTTGCCCCAATTTCCCTAGTAACAGCCCAGGTTGGTGAGATGGAGACTTAGTGTTCCGGTTATGTATTGCCGCATAGCAGGCCACCCAAAATGTAGTGGCTGAGAACAAGGGCTGATGCCTGTCTCTCAGGGTTCTCTAGGTTGACTGGGCTCGGGGAGGGGTAGCCCTTGCTTGGGTCATTTCCGGCCGTGGCCATCCTCTGAAGGCTCGACTGGCTGGGCTGCCAGGGAGGCTCCTCACATGTCTGGCAAAGGATGCCAGCTGTCATCGGGGAGCTCAGCGGGGCCTGTCAACCTGAGCACCACAAGTGGCCTCTCCACGTGGCTTGGACTTCCCTCAGTGAGGCGGTTGGTTCTAAGACAGAATGTCTCAAGAGAGCGTTCCAGGAGACCCAAGTGGAAACTGCAAGACTTCTTATGCCCTAGCCTCAGGAGTCACACAGAGTCATGTCCGTTACATGCTGCTGGTCCAACTGAGCCTGCCCGGATGCACGGGGTGGGGAATTGACTCCACTTCCCAATGGGAGGGAACAGCAAAGAATCTGCAGACCTTTTTGGTCTTCCACTCTTGAAGACTGAAAGCATGTATTGGTTAGTAGCCTATGCATCCTACCGGGGTCTGCCTTAGGAGAGGCCATGCGAGAGTCCCTCTCCCCATCCCCTTCATTTCCACAGAAGCAGTCTGCTCCTGTCTTACTTCCATTTACCAAAATCCTGCCCGTTTTCAGAAGTCATCTGATCTCTCAGCCTTCCCTGGTTGCCCACAGGAGCCACAAGTCTCCCTGTCTTTATCTGCCTTTGTCTCACATGGCTCTTCTCACAGTTGTTTATGGGCTTGGCTTGCTAGGTTGTAAACTCTTGGAAGGCAAAGACTCTGTCATGTTCTTCTTGTTAATCTCAACACCCCACCCTAAAGACCTAGTAAAGTTCCTGGCATAGAAAAGGGCTTCCATAAATTCCATCTGCTTTCCCCTTTTTCACACATTTGAGACTGCACTTCCTGTTGAACTAATGAGTTCTTATGAACTAATGACCTTAATGGAGCGGGGGATGGTGGGAAGAGAACAAGCACTTGCCACACACTTTGTATGTGCATTTAACAGAGCAGGCTAGGAGCTTTACATATATTCTTTCACATATGTAAAAGAATTCTTTTACATTCTTTTACATATGTGGCAGCCACTGGGAAGGGACTTCCTTGGTAGAGCTGGAAAGTAAGTAGCAGCATTCCTATTTTATAGAGGATGGAGTTGAGGTTTGGAAATGTTAGGTAACATGTGCACAGTGACATAGTTGGGTCACCTAGTTAGAAAGTCGTGGAGCCATAATTCAAATCTAGGTCTTCGGGAATTTAAGGCACACATTCCCTTCTGTAGGCTTAACCTCTTGGAACCTCAGTTTCCTCATCTGTAAATGGAGAGAAGAATACTTCATAGGGTTGTTTGGATGAAAAGAAATAAGACTGTAAGCCATCCAGGGCTGCACTTGGCATCAAGTGGGCATTCATTCCCTATTGCCTGTCATGCCATGGCTTCTTGTTCTCAAGGCTTTGACAAGCACTTTACCCACCTGGCATGCTTTATGGCTGGCAACGCAGTTGACGGGTTTGCCCTCCTCATCTTTGGGTGTGTGCGTTGTTCACCAGCATACATATGACTATTGTGGTACGTGCCTCCCAATTGCTCCTCCCCTTCCACTGGAGCACAAGTGAGTCATTTTCCCTGGATTCCCCCCCCAAGTGAGAGACCGCCATCTTCTTTCTAACACAGTGCAGACAGCCAGGTCTCCAGTCACCCCGGAGGCTTCTCCTAGAGCAGCTGAGGTGAGGGATTCCACCCTTCCACATTAATTGCTTTTGTTTGCTCCTTTAAAATTAATTCCAACGAGAGCTCATTAATTCTTTCTTTTTCCTCATCTCATGCTCACTTGTTGTCTTCACTACTCAGTTCTGTTTTCCATTTTTTGGTCTTGCTCTGTCTCAGAGCATGTAGGAGCCCCATTCAGAATGATTCTGCAATGGTGACATCTCGCCGGGTGAGTTAGGATGTAGGCTAGTAAGAAGGTAGCAGCTACTGGGAAGGGGCTTGCTTGGTAGAGCTGGGGAGAGCTACAATTTATGTCTTTTGCTTCCTGATTCCCTTCCTTCTTATTCCTTTGGCTCTGGTCTCCTCATTCTCTGGCCTGAAGCATTGCCTGGGAAGGGAGGAGCTGGCTGGTTTAGGCGTCCACTAGTCTGGTCTGATCTGTCCCTTCATTCCCCAACTCAGTTTCATCTCCAACTCCCCTGCCTGGCCATTGATATATGGCATAGAGTTGCCAGAATCACAGAAGGCAGAGGAGATTGGATTGTTTCTCTTAACTCTTCTCATACCCTTCCCTCCAAGGGTTCAAACTGAAAAGTCTGGGAGTCCAGAAAGAGATGAGATTTTAAAAACTCTTTCCTCCTTGCCTTCAGGCTCTTCTTTCTTTCCAGTGCTAGTCCTTTGGAGGAGCAGCAGGGCTCAGGGGCAGGCAAAATGGAAGCCTTCCCAGCAAACTGCCCTGCCAGAGCCTTGGAGGAGGCCTCTTTAGACCTGGCTTTCTTTATTGTTCTGGTACAGCCCTAGCAGGGGACTTGTCACAGGCAGTTGCTAGCTTTTGTGATTCTGTTCCAGTCATTGACCTGGATGCCTGGAGTTTGACAAATCTTCAAGTAAGGAAAAGCATTTCCTGCATCCATGTGAATTTGCAAATATATGTCTTTTGTGCTTACAAGCCCATGGGAGGGTAAGGCAGGGAGGAGGAGGGCAGAATGCAAGCTGGGCAGTATGCAAGTTGGCCTAGTGCATGATCTAAGTATTTTCCCCAGTGTATGTATGTGCGTGCACACACACACACACACACACACACGCTCACACACCTCTTTCAGGAGGTCTGCCCTGATGGCCTCAGCTAGAACTAACCTCTCCTTCCGCTGAATTCCTGTGGCACCAGTGACTTGTATCACTCACAGCAAATCTATGCTTTCAGTTGTACAGTGGTAGCAGAAGATCGTATTGGATAAATAAGTTGGGGCTGGATTGTAAAAGACCTTGCATTTCAAGCCTCCATCCTGCAGACAGTAGAGAAGCACTGCAGGTTTGTGAGCCAGGGCATGATTGGATTGTCACTTGCGGGGAGCAGGGAGACCAGACCAGAGGTAGAGGCACCCTGTCATCTCAAGGGCAACAGGACTGGGGATGACTTGGTGCAGGTGGGTTGCTGGACCAGTTTAATCTGCAGTCTGAAGGCAGTGTCATGGACAGGGAAGATTGGTTGGTGATGAGGGTTTAGGATGCCGCACTGAGAGCTGTTTTGGGGGCTCAGTGGGTGTGGTTGGGGACCTGTGTCTTAGGGTAGAGTTGGTGACTGGAGACAGAAGAAGACCAGATGGAATTAGGTACAGGACCCTTACAAAGCCCTTCTTGACACTAGAGAAGTTTACATTGGGCCACCCCCTTATGTAGGGGCATGTGCCCTGGAACACTTTAGAGGCTTCTCTTAAAGGTGACATGGCAGAATTATTTGCTGGCTATCAAAGTTATTGAGATGAGGTGACAGGGGCTGTGGCAGAGCCAAAGCTATGGGGTCTGGGTCCAAAGACAGGTACAGATGTGCCCTGCCCATGCCACATGGACACTGTCATCCTCCACAGCCCAGCTCAGAGCAGCTGGCCCTTTCACTCCCCCGGGGCTCAGCATTTACTGCCCAGACAGAAAAGGGGAGGGAATGACATGACTCCTTGTCTGTCTGCTTTCTCCCAAGGTCACCTTTGTCTCTGCTTGTCAAAACTGGCATCATCTCCCTGGCACTGCCAGTCCTGGAGCTGGGGGCTGCATGGTGTTCCCTCAATGTCTTCTTGCCTTAACCCAGTTGCTCTGGCAAAGAGCAGGGAGAGGTGCAGCGGCCACTGCGGCGTAAAGATGCCTTTGAGAGATGGGATCCCCTTCAGACTCTTCTCTAGCCCTGAAGTGCAGCCTCCCTCCCTGTCCCCTACTCCAGGAGGGGCCTTCTCCAGGGCCTTTCTCTGCTGGGGAAGGAAGGGAGGGACTTGGTCCAAGGGAGCCAGCCTGGCTGTCTATATGTTGAGAGGAGTTGTCTGCAGTGCTGGGCTGAGGCCAAGCTAAACACCCCCCTGCCCAGCTGCCTGAGCCATTCTGCTTTCCTGGATTGGTGGGGAATGGGAGAGATTGTGTATGTGTGTGGGGGGAAGTGGTGGGGGCAGGGGTTTGTTATCTGCAGGTTAACCCTTGGGAGGCCAAGGGGAAGGAAAGCATCCAGTGGGAAAGTGCCGCTGTCTGTTTCTTGGATAGGTGATCTCATCCAGATCAAGTCCTTTAGTGGAAACTAGGAGATGGGGTGTGGATGGGGAAGGAAGAGACATTGGTCAAAGGGTACAAAGTTTCAGTTAGACAAGGGGAATAAATTCTGGTGATCTATTACACAGCATGGTGACTATAGTTAATAATAATATAATAATAAATTATATTTTTAAATTGCTAAAAGAGTAGGTTTTATTTTATTTTATTTTATTTTTTAGACAGAGCCTTGTTCTGTCACCCAGGCTGGAGTGCAGTAGTGCAATCTTGGCTCATGTAACCTCCACCTCCTGAGTTCAAGCTATTCTTGTGCCTTATCTTCCCAAGTAACTGGGATTATAGGTGTGCACTACCGCGCCCGGCTAATTTTTGTATTTTCAGTAGAGATGCGGTTTCACCATGTTGGCCAGACTGATTTCGAATTCCTGACCTCAAGTGATCCACCCACCCTGACCTCCCAAAGTGCTGGGATGACAGGCATGAACCACCCACTGCGCCCTGTCAAGAGTAGGTTTTAAATGTTCTCACCACAAAGAAATGATAAATATGTGAAGTGGTAGATATATTAATTAGCCTAGTTTGATCATTTCACAATGTATACATGTATCAAACCATCGCATTTTACCCCATAAATAGATGCAATCATTATTTATCAAATAGAAAAAGACCAAGTTTGGAATGATAGCCCCAGAACCATCCTCCGTGGTGATCTTATGAGGAGCACAAATGTATGTCATAGGTAATTAGGAAAGTTGTGTGGAGGGTCAGAGTCTTTGACTCCCTCTCTTAGGACAAAGATTTGAGGTTTGACTGAGCAGGATACAAAGGCTTTGCGTCCCACTCATCTTGTTGCCTCTCCCTGCCACCCTTGGCTCTCCCGCTGTGATGGAGGGTTAGCTATGCTGTCTGCCTTCATCCCTTGCCCAGAAGCATGTTCACCACAGGGGAGCTTTTCCAGGCACCTGGACCGAAGCATATCTGTCCTTACTGCACTTGTATATCATCCCATCCCAGGACTTCCCCCAGAGCAGGTTCTAGAAATGGGATTCTCTTCCTTGCCACCCCTGCTTTCATATTACCCTTGGCTGTTGTGTTCAAGACCTGGGGACAAATAGTGCAAGGCTAGGCCTCCTCAGAGCTCCCAACCTCAGAGGGACCTTACCATTTTAAATAGGCTGATTAGGAAAGCTTGTCAATGATCAGGAGCATAAAGAATGGACGTTTTTTGTTTTTGAGGGAGTTTTTTGCTAATGAAACCTTGGACTGAAGCCACTGAACTTGCCCGGTCTGGAAGTGGGTTGCTAACTGCATAGCCTGAGAAGGAGCTCTCCCCCAGGGCAGCTGGAGAGCAGGGGCCAGGAGGTTCCTCCCAGAGAGCAGGACCTGGGCTGCAGGATTCCCCCTTCCCTGCAAGCTGAGGCCTGGCCTGCTGAAGCGGGTGAGAGAGAGCTCTGAGCTGGAGAGTCAAAGATTTGGGTTCCCAGCTGGCTTTGACACTTCCCTAAGGATGTGTAACTTCAGATCATTCACTATCCCCTTTGAGCTCTAACTGTTTAAATCAGCTGAGAAGGAGAGATGATAATATAGTGCTTCCTTTGGGTTATGTGAAGCTGCAATGAAAAATAGTCAATGTGTGTAAAACGCTATGCAAATGTCAGAGATTATTATTAATATTGTTATTGTTCTTAGGAGAGGCAGAGAACTGGAGTCCTGGGCTTGAGCTGTACTTTCTCTTGGAAGTTTCTGCAGCCCACAGCTTCCTCCCCAGTAGAGTAAAGAAGGGGCCTTTGGGGTGGGAATTGCCTGCTCCTCCAAGCCACTTTGCTTTGGGCAAAGCCCTGGAGGGTAAGAGAAACCCTAGTCATCCTACAAACACAAATGCCAGGGCCAGATCATTCCTCCCTGCCCCTGTCCCTTCCTTCCCCTTCTTCCTCACTCTGTTCACTCAGCCAGTTTTCATTTCCCGCCTGGTGGAGCTGGGGGCCTCTGGCTCTCCTGGGCAGGGTGCCCGAGGCCTGGGGGCCTGGGTCTTCTCTGGCTTAGTTTGTCGTTTGCCTTATCCTCATTTGGCGGAGGCATTGCAGAGCCTAACAGAAACCTGCCTCCTCCTCCCTAGGTGGGGCAGGAACTTTCGTTTATGATAATGATACTCTGCATTTATAGAGCGTCTTTTCTACTGAGAGCTCAGAGCACTTTTCCTTCTATGCACACTCTCATCTTTCTGGAAGTGCAGGCTGAGGGAAAGAATCACAGTGACTTTATAACTGAGGCTTGGAGGCACTGAGTAGCTTGCCTTAGGTCATGCAGCCAGCAAGGGGCAGAGCCAGGATTTGAGTTTCAGAGTTGGGACTGCTGCCGGGATTAGTCTTGAGGTCCCTTGACCTTCAGCGAGGGACTTGTTGGCCTGTTTCCTTAGTGCCTAAAGAGTGAGGACTGGGTCAGGCGCAGTGGCTCACGCCTGTAATCCCAGCACTTTGGGAGGCCAAAGTGGGTGGATCACGAGGTCAAGAGTTCAAGACCAGCCTGGCCAACATGGTGAAACCCCATCTCTACTAAAAATACAAAAATTAGCTGGGCATGGTGGCGCGTTCCTGTAATTCCAAATACTCAGGAGGCTGAGGCAGGAGAATTGCTTGAACCGGGACCTGGGAAGTGGAAGTTGCAGTGAGCCGAGATGGATCGTGCCACTGCACTCTAGCCTGGGTGACACAGCGAGACTCTGTCTTAAAAAAAAACAAACAGTGAGGACTGATGCCTGCCTGCCTGGCTTGGCATGGGTTGATTCAGAGGTAACCTCAGGCCCTGTGGTCCCTGAAGATCAGTGAGTGTGGGGAGGTGGGAGGTGGCGTGGCTTGCAGGCAGCTGTGCCTTGGCCATCTTGTGACTTCCCAGCGTGGGCATGAATATGGAACAAGCACATTGGCTGAATTCTGGGTTAACCCTCTGTCCCCTGCAGCAACATGCCGGCAAAGGGTGAGCTAGGGCAGGCTCCTTTTGGCTCCTTGATTGGTCTGAGGTGGTGCTTCCTCCCAGCACTCCGCCCCTCAGGAGGCAGGTGGATTAGTCCACTTGTCTCTCTTCCTGGAGCAGGCTGCCAGGAGTTAGGAAAGGAAGCGTTTGGGCATGAGGTGTGTTTGCACCCCGGCTCCTGCACACCTTTCTAGGCTGGTAAGGGGAGGCTCCCTCTGAGCAAAGTGGGCTGGGATGGACACTGGGGCCTCTCGGGGCATGGGGCTTTGAGGACGGGGGGACGGCTGGGTGACTCTAGGGGCATGGGGCTTTGGGACCCGGGGGGGACAGCCGGCTGACCGTTGACTCAGTTTCCATGTTCCCAGGGGCCTCTCTAACACTGCCCTCTCCATCTTTCTTCCCTCACTCCTTACAGTTGCTTTCTTTTTCCTTTCTCTTTTTCTCTTTTCTCCCTTTTACTCATTATTTACTTGGCAAATTTGAGCTCTGAAATAGGCCAAGCATGATTCTCTCACCTTCTATGTTCTCCCTTCCAAAGGACTTCTCTAAAAACTGAATATTCATCGTGTCCCTTCTGAACTCTCTGTCCCCTTTTCCACCAATTCTCTTTCCTCCAGAATGTTCTTCTCTTCTCTCCCAAGAGCTCTGGGATCAGTAGCACCAGGAAGTGTTAAGGGAGGAAGCAGCCTGGGAGGTGCCAGCTGTTTGCCCAAGGTGGGGTTGGCTGTAGCATGGGTCGCTGGGCTGGGCTGGGCTGCAGCATGGACTTAGGTGCTTAGCTCTTCTGTGTTCTTGTTCTTCCCACGCCTTCTGCCTCCTTTCTTCTTCCTGTTTCCCACTTCTGGTACCTACCTAATGCAGGCAGAAAGGCAACAAGGCATTTGATCAGTTGCTGCAGGTGCTGCTTGGCTGAGATGCTCATTCCTTTTTTTTTTTTTTTTTTTTTGAGACAGAGTCTCACTTTGATGCCCAGGCTGGAGTGCAGTGGCATGATCTCAGCTCACTGCAACCTTCGCCTCCTTGGTTCAAGTGATTCTCCTGCCTCAGCCTCCAGAGTAACTGGGATTAGAGGCATGCGCCGCCAACATGCATGGCTAATTTTTTTGTATTTTTAGTGGAGATGGGGTTTCGTCATGTTGGCCAGGCTGGTCTCGAACTCCTGACCTCAGGTGATCTGCCTGCCTTGGCCTCCCAAAGTGCTAGGATTACAGGCGTGAGCCAACGTGCCTGGCCGAGATGCTTGTTCTTTCCAGAACCCAGGGTACTGAAAGGCCAAACTCAGTATGAGGCTGGAGATGCTGTTTGTTTTCGGCTCTGAGCCAGGGTGATCTAGGGAAGGAGGGGTGCTTCACATCGAAAGACAGAATGAAGCTCCTCCACAACCTCATGGTGGGGCCTTGGGAGGGCTGCTTCCTCTTCGGTAGCACTGGCTCTACCTCTGTCAAAGGCTCTGAGGGGATCTGGCTATAGAAAGTGAGCTCTAACTTGTCACAGTTGTTCTGCTGGGAAGGGAAGAACAGCCTGAGGGTTCTCTCTACAAGTTCTCCAGAGCAGGACCTCCAGAGGCCTGGCCAGCTTAGAGGAGTTTATTGCACTATCGCCTAGCACAGTTACTCCTAATCTGTAGGGTCTGATTTATATTTTTAAAGCTTTTTATTAGAGAATCAAGCATACACAAAAGTAGAGAGACTGCTATAATAACACCAATGTGCCCAAGCTTCAGTGGTTTTGAAGTCTTCTCTTAGTCAGTCTTCTTTCAAGTATGTTCCTGGTCCTTTCTGCCCTCTGACAATTTTGAAGCAAATCCTAGACAGCTGAATATTTCATCTCTAAAGAAAGGGACTTCCAGCTGAGTGCAGTGGCTCATGCTTGTAATCCCGGCACTTGGGGAGGTCAAGGCGGGCAGATCATCTGAGGTCAGGAGTTTCAGACCAGCCTGCCCAACATGGTAAAACCCCACCTTGCAGCTTTTTGGCTAAGATCAAGTGTAAAGATAGGGACTCTAAGAAAAATACCAAAATATGATCACACCTAAACAAAATGAACAATTCCTTAATGTAATCAACTGTCCTGTTACTGTTTATATTTCCCTGATTATATATATATTTTTTTCTAGTGTTCTTTTAAATTTGGATCCAAATCAGGTCCATTCACTGTGATTGGTCATTATAGCATTTAAATCACTCCTAATCTGTAGGTGTTCTCTCTCTCTCTTCTGAAGAAACTGGATTATATGTCTTCTCTTTTTTTTTTTTTTGAGACAGGGTCTCACTTTGTTACCCAGGCTGGTCTCAAACTCCTGGCCTCAAGTGATCTGCCCACCTTGGCCACTCCAGTAGCTGGGATTACAGACAATGAGTCACTGCATGCAGCTTGGGTGATTGTCCTGTAGAGTTTTTCACGTTCTGGATTTGGCTGATTGCATCCTCATCGTGTCATTTAACATGTTATGCTGTCCCTGTAGTTCCTGTAAATGTAGTTAGATTTAGGGCTTAATCAAATTCAGGTTCCTTTAATTTACTTATTTGTGGGACAGAGGCAAGAATCCATTCGTGGTATGCACATCTATCAGGAGGCACACGATGTCTGGTTGTCTCTTTTTTTGTGTGATATTGGCAGCCTAGATGATCTTTGCCTAGCTCCATTAATCCATTACAGGCTAATTGCCTATTAATGACTCTCTAATTAGACGTTGCTTCTTTGATCTCACAGTAAGCGATCTTTTGCTTTGGAAAGAGGCCCTTCTCTGGGAGGTGTTGTGGTAGAGGCTCTGGGATGGCAATAGGATGGCCCACTCCCACCTGTTCTGGCTTCCCTGTGGACTGGTAAGACATGGGCCCCATGAAGGCCAGGTTGAAGGTCCTGGAAAGAGTCCTTTGCATTGCTTTCCAGTCATGTTTTAAGTCTTCGTACTGATGGAGGGAGTCAGAGCCTGAAACATTCCAAATAACTTTTCCAGTTAGCTCTGAAATACAATTCAGCCATGTTTAATCAAATTAATGCTCAGACACAAATCTTTCCCAACTATCCCCTCTAATCACCCCAGGCTCTTTCTACTATCAGTGACCTAACAATAACTCTATAATAATAGCTTACAGTCTACAAAACATACACACACAAGAAGTAGTGCAACACAGAGGGTAAGAGTGGAGCTTTGAGGTCAGCTGGGTTGGCTGCGGACTGTGGCTCCACCACTGTCTAGTTGTTTGGCTTTGGGCAAGCTAGCTAACTTCTCTCCACATTAGTTTCTATCCAGCCTTATAAGGTTGTTATGAATATTAAGTGAGATGATATAAACAAAGAGCTCAGCACAGTGCCTGGGATATAGTAGATGTGCAACAAATGTCAGCTATTGTTATTTTGAAATCATCTACTCATAGCAATCTAGTATCTAGCTGCAAGACTGTGCAGACACTGCACAGGGACAGAGTAGCAGCAGACAATTGAAAGTTGACTGTGAGGCCGGGCACAGTGGCTCAAGCCGGTAATCCCAGCACTTTGGGAGCCTGAGGCTGACGGATCACCTGAGGTCGGGAGTTTGATACTAGCCTGACCAACATGGAGAAACCCCATCTCTACTAAAAATACACAATTAGCCAGGCATGGTGGTGCATGCCTGTAATCCCAGCTACTCAGAGGCTGAGGCAGGGAAACCCGAGAGGCAGAGGTTGCAGTGAGCCGAGATGGTGCCATCGCACTCCAGCGTGGGCAACAAGAGCGAAACTCTGTCTAAAAAAAAAAAAAAAGAAAGAAAATTGACTGTGGGTTGGGTGCAATGGCTCACGCCTGTAGTCCCAGCACTTTGGGTGGCCGAGGCGGGAGGATCACCTGAGGTCGGGAGTTTGAGACCAGCCTGGCCAACATAGAGAAACCCCGTCTCTACTAAAAATACAAAATTAGCTGGGCGTGGGGGTGCATGCCTGTAATCCCAGCAACTCAGGAGGCTGAGGTAGGAGAATCCCTTGAACCCAGGAGGCAGAGGTTGTGGTGAGCCGAGATCACGCCTCTGCACTCCAGCCTGGGCAAGAAGAGTGAAACTCTGTCTCAAAAATAAATAAATAAATAAATAAATAAATAAATAAATAAATAAATAAATAAAATAAATAAAAGCAGCTTCTTTCCTTTTTATCCCAGCCAGGGTCATCAGAAAGCAGCCAGGGCTCCAGCTCTAATTTTGAGAATAATGAGGTTTTATCCAGAGAAGTCAGGGAACTGGCTTTCAGAAACACAGTGAGTCAGAGGATATGCCTCAAATGGGAAAGGAAAGCCAGCCATCCCAGCTCTCTGATACCTGCCCTGTCCTTTCCTTAGGAATGGGAGCAAGTGAGAAGAAAGGAGAGAGGATTGGGGTTTGGCTTATACTTGCTCTTGTATTTTTCCCTTTTGGAGGCCTGGGCTGTCTCTTGCCCTTGAGACAGGCCCCCTGAGTCCTTGGTCTAGAGAGCCAGGTGGCTGTGCCTCCTCCCCAGGAGCTTGTGGTCCCCTGGGGCCTGGCACAGCGCTCGCCCATCTGCCCATGCAGATCAGAGATGGAAATCTGCAGTTAGACCATTGGACACCACAACGTGCATGGACAGATGAGGAAGTCTGCTTGCAAGGTGCCAATCAACGACGGGGCTCTCAGCGCTCTCCTGGGCCTCAGCGGGCCAGAGACTGCAGGCCAAGAAGGGGCTCCCAGAAGGGGCCCGTCGGCATCAAGGCTCACTTGCCCTGTGCTAGTTCCTTATCGCTGTCTACTTCCTGTACCTCTCCACATGTGGGGCACTAGAGACACAAGACACCCTCTGTGGGCCTTGAGAGGGAGACAGAAAGGAATGGAGCTGGGGATAAATCAGGAGTGAGGCCTCAGCGCCAGGTGGGTGGGAGAGGTAGGAAGGACAAACAAGCAGGAAGCCCTGGTACTGCTTTCTTGGGCATTAAACGAGGAAGAATGGTGCAAAGTGAACAAAATGAAATACTGTATTTCTGTTTCACTGGGCTCGCGCCTGTTACATCCTTGAGCTACTTCTTTTGCTGGGAGTTCAGCCTTGTGACTCAAGCATGTGAGCAGAGAGTGGCAGGGTTTCTATCCCAGGAGGAGGAGGAGGGGATGGAGAGAGACTGGGGAGAGGCTGAAACCCAAGTAGCTGCTTTGTCCACAAATCCCTACTACAGAGGCTGCCGTACCCAGCGCGCTTCTGCCTGGACCACTCCCTGCCTAAGTGCGGAGGCCCCAGGGTTTGGGCAGTGAGCAGTTCCTCACCCTATTTGGATCATATAGGAAGGAGGGAGCTAGTCTAAGGATGATGAAAGGCAGTGAATGCTGAGTGAGGTCAAGTCCTAGTGCTGAGCTCCATACTGGCACACAGAAGGCACTCATAAAATATATATGGAATGAATGAATGAACCAACCAACCAAGGAGAAGGAAAGGGGTTTGATTACATTTATCCTCCGACTCTTAATTCTCTAGCTTAATCCCTAGCAGTCAGATTTAGGGCTTGGACAGCAAAAATTATTTGCTAGAAATGTGTTGTGAGAGGGTGTAAGGCTCAATGATCTATCACCTGGAGCACTGCTTTGTGAATTAATTAACCAGGCTTTTGGTTCTCTTCTTTCTCTTTTGTCTCCATGCCTCTGTGGTGCTCACTTGGGTTTGGGAGGTGGCATGGACTGGGGCAGCCATGCAAAGTCTTGTTAGAATGAGAGCTGGGAAGCCTCTGTCTATCTGTGCTCTCATGGCCCTTTTTGGGTTCTGAATATGGGTCTCGATTGTCTCTGTTTCTTTGCCAGTGCTTTGCACATAGTGGGCACTGATAGAACATTTGATGAGCTAAGACGTGACCGTGTGTTGGCACAGGCAGGAGGGAGAAGCTTCACTCTCCTGGCTGGTTGGGTCTAAGGGAGAGAGGAGCTGAGTGTCTACTTGTGCCCTCTGGTCTTCACAAACTGAAGGGCACTGTTGGAGCCGGGCTCTGTTTCAGCTGGCAGAAGGGGGCATGGAACTGGAGCTGCCCTCAGCCATGGAGAAAGTTGGCCACAGCAGGACTGGACACGTGGAGTGCTCAGAGCCTGCCTCACAAAGCAGCTTAGGAGAAAATTAAGTGGTCTCAAGCCAGGGGAAGCATGGCTCCCTGTGCTGGATGCATTAGGGAGACGGCTGGGCAGGGTGAGGAATGGGGCTTGCTGTGGGCAGAGGGACTCTGCCCCTTTTGTGTTCAGCCCAGTCTATATGTTAATGGCAGCCCAGCGGTGCTTGGCTTTGGCAGCCTGGAAATGGCAGCTACTACTTCTCCCCATGCTGCCCTTCCACCCCTTGTTCGCCTGGGCCCTGAGATCTCTGCAGGACTAAGTGACCTTAGGGACAGGCAGAGTAGAGTCTTGCGCCAAGGCCTCCTGGGTTTGTTCACAGGCTACTCTAAGAAGCCACCAATAAGGAACTTTCTCAGGGCTCAGGGTCCTGAGCACCTTTAGAAGTTTCTAATAGGATTTTGTCTTCCAGATAGGAAGGAAAACCCATCCAGATCTTATAGAGGAACCAAAGCCCAGCGAGGCAGGTACTTGCCCACAGTAACGTGTGTGCTGAGGGCTCACCAAGCAGGCAGCTGGGCATTCGGGCTCCTAGTCCTGGGACCTGAGCTCTCAATATTTCTGAGCATGAAGATCTCATGTGGTGCCCATTGGTTCTTTGTCAAACCAGATATTTATTTACGTGAGTTCTTTGGTAGGACAACCAATTTTTCTCAGTGTGCCTGAGACTGTCCCGGTTTGAGCACTGAAAGTCCTGGGCAAACTGGGACAGTTGACCACCATGTCCCTAAGGATTCTCCCCCTGGCAGCCCTCTAAACCCAGTTTGCATTTCTCTTTATTGCTTTAATTGCAGGAAACATTTCTTCCTGGCATTCGTTTTCTATGGGCTGACCCCAGAGAGCTGAACTTGTAGATAACTGGGAAGTAACGTTGCCTACCCAAGGTGCCTGACACTAGACTTTCCTATCTCTCAGGAGCTCTAAGACAATCAAAATAGTTGCATCTCTCTAAATGCAATTGGGGTAACTGAAGTACAGTGTGGAGGTGGCTCCTGCCTCTCCCTTGCTGAAAGCTCTGATCAAATTCTGTATTCCTGGGAGGCTGAGGCAGGAGAATGGCGTGAACCTGGGAGGTGGAGCTTGCAGTGAGCTGAGATCACGCCACTGCACTCCAGCCTGGGCAACAAAGTGAGACCCCATCTCAAAAATAAATAAATAAATAAATAAAATTCTGTATTCCTGCATCTCCTCTCTTCTAAGTAACTCAGGCATCATGTGATCTCCAGTCTCCTTTATCCAACACAGTCCCTAAGCCAAAGGACAAAGACACAAACAGGTGACCCAATACCCTTTTAATGAATGGAGAAACTGATATCTATGGAAGGTTTAGTAAGCTATTGGCCTCAGGTCAGATAAAAACACCAGGATCCTAATCGACTTCCAATTCAGCACCTTTAGACATAAAGCCTTCAGCTTTTGTGACTTCTGGAATAGTCTCTCCACTTTCACTCATTTCTTCTGAATTGTATCCCTCTCAGATAAGACTTTGTCAGAGAAACTCAACCTCAGAGAAAACTGTTTCTAAGTTCTCTTCATTTGGTTCCTTTCCTTGTCTTATTGATGGTGAGACATTTCTGTCTCATCACGAGCTGCCTCTCTAATGGGGGCTGCAAAGTAGCCAGAGCTGGAGTTTCCTATTGCCCAGCCCTGCCCTTCGTATCCTATCCCATAAAGGGCTTATTCATTGAGGCCCCTTTCTTTATCCTATTTATAAATCTTTTCAGCATGTCTTTGTGCCCAGTGACAAACCCTATTCTATCCTCTACTTCAGCCTTTGAGATACTAAAAATTTCCTTCCATCTTCAAAATCCCTTCACGATCCATAGCCCTGACTCTTACCAGGGATGCCTGGCAATCAAAGTCAGAGCAATCAAAGTCAGATTCTGGGATGTGGACCCCAAAGAGGGCTCCTGAAGTCCTCGTGCAGCTGAAACACATCCCTACTGGCTGGACTTTTACTGCACTTCATCATAGCTAGGAGTGACTCATGCAGACTCAAGCAGAACCTTGGGGCCCAGGGCAGAAGTGTGACTTCAGGTCTCACTCAGCACTCATCAGAACACTCACTCAGTATGCTTGTAATTAGAATTGAGTGATCTCATGGATGAACTGTACTGGGCTAACTTGAAGAGCACAGCTCTGGAGTCAGTCTGCCCAGGTCCTTTCCAAGTCCTGCCACTCCATCCTCAAGCAGGATATTTAACCTGATTTTGTCTCAGGTTCCTCATCTTAAAACAGAGGTCATAACAACAACCATCTCAAAAGGCTGTTGTGAAGATCAAATGAGTTGCATTTAGAATTATGCCTCACACAAGTATGCACTCAATAGATAGCTATTATTATAATACTAGGTAGCTTACACCCTCTGCCATTTACCTCTCTAGTAAGCTGTTTATTCATTTGACAAACACATACTGAGCACCTATTATGCACCAGGAATACAAGTACAACCTTGTTGAAGCTTTCCAGTTACACAAGCAGTTTATAATGCCCTCTAATTTCACATTAGCTTTCTTTCTTCCGAAATGTCCATTTGGCTGTGACAGCAGTTGAGAAGTCATCACTTTGGTCCCATCTAGCTCTCAGTGATCCTAGTCTGCATGTTGTGGGGCAAAGGCCACTTGCCTTGGGAGTCAGAGGACCTGAATTTCTATTGATGATTCAGCTGGTAACCAGCTGGGATCTATTGGACAGGTTGCTTCATCTTTTCTGAGCCTCAGTGTCTCCATCCTACCTTGAGGGGTGCTGCGGAGATAAGATGAGATAACGATGCAAAAGACCTATTAAATGTCAGGTGCTAGGATGGAGCAAAGAGAAGACAGTCCTTGGGAGAGTGCCCCATCTAAGTGCAGAGGGGGGCCTCCCCCAGGCAAGGCTCTGAAGATAATTAACATGAGTGCAAGCTCCCGGAGGGCACTGAGTGTCAGGGCCTAGCACAGTGTGCTGTGGCACATAGTAGATACACAGTTAATGCCTGCCACATAGCTGTAGACCCTTAGCAAATGTTTGTCAAATGAATAAATGTGACATAAATGGCTCTAACCAATGTAAAAGCGGGGAAGGCATTAAGTTCCAAGGAAATGCAAAGCAAAGGGAAGGTCAGGTTTGGGCATGGTCTATCAGGGAGGGCTTCCTGGAAGAGATGACTTAGATTTAGGTTGGGAAGACCTTGCATCCACAGAATGATACGCCATGGGACAAGAAGGGAATTTGCAAAATGCGTAGGGCCAGTTAGCTTGGTTGGGGTGGGAAGAGTGGTCCCCAGAATAAAAGGAGTAGGATAGGAGTTTACATGGGCAGTAGCTACAATTGGGTTTTGAGAGAGTAAACACTTGGTTGGGGGAATGTGGAGGAGCATGTGTGAGGAGTGTGATTATGGCTGGTGCAGAGTAGACCACAGGAGGCCCATTATCTGCTGCCTGCCCATTAAGGAAAGAATCCCAGCGGCTGATAGCTCTGGATAATAGTGACAGCGGTTGAAGCTATGGGGGCCTGGGACTGCCTGAGACCACCGGCTAAGCAGCCAGTTTCTATTGTCCACTAATGGCACTTTGAAGGTGGCAAAAGCTGGATGGCAGCAGCCTGCTGTGCGACCCCACTGGCTTCCCAAGTCACGCCAGGGAGCTGGTGTGGCTCATTAAGAGTCCTGAGAACTTCTGTTGCGGTGGAAAGCAAGGGCACAGAGAACTTCCAGAAGGATGCCGGGGCAGCTAGGACTAAAGTCATCCAGTTTAGAGCCTTGAGGTGAATAGATCATCATTTCCTCCCCTTAAACAAGGAGTCTGGGCACAAATAGGCGCTCATTGTTAGTGTGTTAAATTGGGCAGCATGAGACTAAAGGGGTGTGTGTAGGGGGGCGGGTTCAGACGGACCTGAGGTCCTGTGCAAGCTCTGCTGCCTCTGTATTGATATTAAGAAAGCTTCCTAACCTCTCTGGGCACCACTTTTCTCATATATGAAGTCAGAGTAACAAAGATTTTTGCCAAAGAGTTAATTCGAGGACTAGCTAAGGTATAGATAACAGTGGCTACATAGCACATGGTAAACTGCTCCACAAGTGGTGGTGGTTTATGTTTTTAGTTTCTTCTCAATATTTTTTAGTCTCCTGCTAAGGGAGAGAAGGCAGAGCATGCCCTGCCAGAGCCCCAGGGGCAGCTCCTGGGCCTGCCTTTCCTGACTCAGCAGCAGGCTGGGCCCACTTGGGCCTGCACTGCCTTAAGCACTGGGGCCAGCCGACTGAGTCTGCCCTTTTCTCCTTTCTATTCTGGCAGACACACAGCAGACATTTATTAAATGCTTGTTGAATGAAAGATGCATTTGACATGGTCCTTGTCCTTTCCGTTTCACAGTCTAGCAGGGGAGACACACTTGTAAACAAAGGATGAAGAAAAATAAGATCAGATGCACAGAGTGGTTTGCAAACACAGAGGGAGGAAGACTGCCTGGGTGGAAGTAAAAAGTGGCTGTAGGGTCAGGTTTAGGTTGAACCTTAAAGTATGGGAAGGGTAGGGTGGAAGGGTTGAGGTTCCAGCAGAAGAAACAGCATGCACAGAGGCTGAGATGCAGGAGGAAGCATGGGCGCCGGAACTAGATCAGCAGAGTCAGAGGCTGGAGCACAGAGTGCACTGCAGGGGGGCAGTAGGGGAGGCTGGAAGGTGGGCCAGCCTGTGAAAAGCCTTGACAGCCCTACACAGGAGGCTGAACTTAATCCTTTAAAAGTTATAAGCAGACATGGGGCACAATCAATTTGCGTCCTTTCCTCTCCTTGCTCCCATCCTTATGGTCATGTGCAGATCCTCAGGATTCTGAGGATCAGAGAGGCTTGTAGCCTGCCTGAGGGTGCACAGCATGTTAGCTGTGAGGTCAGAATGAGAGTTCAGTGCCTTTGGCTTCCCCTGAGTGGTGCTTTATGTAGTGGACAGTCCTGGTGATGTTGCCTGACTCCCTCTACCATCCTTGTGGGCAGCCATGGCCTCTGGGTAACACTATTCCATATTCTGACCCGAAACAACAGCCTTGTCCATTTAAAGAGCCTAGTGTGATTGAGCCTGGACCTCCCCCTTCATCATCTGCCCCCTTCTTTGGCACAAAGGAGAAGCTACAAGATCCCTTGGAAATAGCCTCCTGCTTCATTTCCAGGTGCTGGGCTGCCTGGCATGTACCAGACTTGGCTTCAGAACATGTTTTTCAAAAGAGATCAGGCAGGCTTTGCAGAATGTAATGGCATTATTCTGGGTTTTTTGGGGGAAGGCTAAGAACCCCTCTCTCCCACTCCCCATTCTACACACACATACCCTAGAGATCGAGCTCCAAGAGTGCTGCAGGCCAGCCCAGTGTGCTGTGCGTACAGGAGGTCTCCACAGAGCACGTGGAGGGAGCAGTTGATGTATGAGCAATAGCCATGTGGGGAGAGATAGGGGACCCAGAACTTTCCAGAAAAGAAGGAGGAGCTGTGGGGCCCCACATGGGCTCAGCATAAACAGGGCTGACCGAAAGTTTCCCTATCTCTTTGCCCCAGGGAAATTCCAGAGAGAAGCCAAGTTGCTAAGTTATGGTTTCTAGTTGTTTCCCTGAGTCATGCAGGCACCAAGCCTTCTCAGAGCCCCTTCCTATAGAAGCCACTGCTCCTTCCCACCCACAGTCTCCTGGGGAGCTGAGCTGCGAGTATGGTGAATCCAGATGGAGGGCATGGCTCCTTCCTCAGGGCCCTGCTGGCACCAGCTCCCCACCTAAGAAGCACCCCCCATGCTCACCCCTACCTCGAGGGTTGGGAGTCAAGTGGAGGGGTCTACCCAGTGTACATTGCATGCCACCATCCTCCTAAATCCACTTCCATCACCCAAGACAGCACCGAGCCTCCATTAAATAGGTGGACATGGAGGCATGAAGGGGTGGTGGAGCATAGCATTCCCCCAGGGAAGAGGCAGCTGGTTCTTTGTTCCCTTCCTTATGGTGGGAAAGGAGAGAATAAGGATGATGGGGCAGCAGTGTCTTAAGTCTTGTGGCTTCCTGGCCCCTTGGTGGCTGAAAGGCCACTCTGCTACTAGTGCTCTCTAGTGATATCCCAGATGGACTCTAGTAGGGCAGCCTGTTCCACTCGTCCCTGTTAGAATTAGACCCGCAGAGGGTGGTGTACCATGATTCCATTGAACTGGTTTGAGATGACCATGAGCTCCTGGTACCCACTCACCCACTCTTCCTCCCTCCCTCCTCATCCCTGCCCGCCCTGTCCCTTTCTCCCTTCTCTCTTTCCTCCCTCTGTATGTCTCCCTTCTGTCCTCCCTTTCCTCCCTTTCTTCCCCAAATATTTATTGAGAAATGTTTATATGCCAGATACCAGGAATGCAAAGATGAGTAAGACACGGCCACTGCCCTCAAGGAACTCAGAGTGCTGTGGGGGAGGCAGACATGTAAACAAATGACTGCAATGCAGGACAACAGGCGTGACTCAGAAATACCTGCTTCTGACTTACAGACAAAGCGCACAGGAGGGAGGGACCACTCCTGTTGGGTGGGGACAGGGGATGTATGGGGACTAGAAGTGCCTACTAGCTCTAAAAGAAGCCCGCCTTAATGGGATCCTCCCTCGCTTATGTTCACACAGTTGTGACAATGAGTAAGTCTCTTAATGTCTCTTGATCTCAATTTCCTCAGTTTTTAAAAAAATAATGTATGTTTGGGGCTTATCACAGAATGAAAAGATATGAAAAGTCATGGGTTGTACCCAGTATGAGGAGATAGTTAGCCAGCTCTCATTTGTAAGGACAGTGAATAGGACACGGAATTTTGGAGGAAACAGTCTATAAGACTGACAGCCTGCTCCTCCTCCTGCTCCCAGTGTTATGAAATGTTCCATAGCACAGGAAAGGACTGTGGGCGCCTCACGGGGAAAGGAGAGTGATTCCACAGTTACAGCCCACTCCCGTCTTCTTTCTCCTCTTTCCTTCCCACCAGAAGTGTCCACTGGGTTGATGTGGCACAGGGTCAGTTCTAGAGATGAACCGAGTACCTTGTTTTTGGGGGACTTTGCATAGTTATCAAGATGGGAAGGAAGCAAGGGCAGACTGGGAGAGCTAGGGACCACAGGAACTTGGAGATGGAGATTACCTGATTTTCTGTTCTCCCATTTACTGGACCGGAAACCTTCCCTCTCTGCACTGCGGGCTCACTCATAGAGTGGCCTCTGGCAAGTCAGAGAATATTCCCCTCCTAACATCTCTGGACCATGGAGAAAATGAAACGAGACGTGCTCAGAAACAACCCGAGTCTTCCAGAATAAAGGGTATGGGAGAGATGTAATGTCATCTGGTCAGGTTTGTACTGTTCAAATTAAACGAGTACTTAATGCATTATATGCTATGAGCCTGTTAACCAAGTTTATTATCGCCAGCTATTGTAGTAGAAAGCTCTGGACTTTATATTGTGACCCTGGAGTTATTGTTTCCTGAATTCAAGCCACTTGAAAATTAAATTGCTTGAGGCGAGTGCCTATGAGGCCACACTTATGGAGCCACTTCTGTCACAGACAAGGCCACCTCCTCAGTGGCCAAAACTTCCGAGGGCCGGCCTTCCCCTGCTATGCAAGAAGTTGGCTGCAAAGTGAAACAGACGCTGTAGTCCAGTGGTTCCAAGTCCAGACTTGGGAAGCAGAGTTCAAATCCAGGCCCTGCTACTTCTTAGCTGTGTGGCAACTTAACTTCTCTCTGGTTCAGTTTCCTCACTTGTACAGCAGGGGTAATAATAGTACCTACCCTGCTGAATTGCATGTGGAGTAAATGAGCCAATTTGAAGCCCTTGGCCCTGTGCTCTCGGATCCTCTACACGCTCTGTCCAGCCACTGCTCCTCCAGTGACCTCTGTCTCCTTCTCTAAAGCCAGGACAGACACCTGTGAAATCTCCTGGGCACTGGGAATTGGACTCCAAGAACAGATTGTCTTTGGAGAGACACTTCTTAGCTTCTCCCACATAGTGACTTTCAGTTTTTTCCCCACCCTACAGAAGGATATTTACCTTGTAAGCAAAGATATTCATGCACGCACGTGTACACACACATGCACTCATGTGTGTATAAGTGTATGAAATAACACTTTTATATAGCACTTGTGTAAAGTACTTTTCCAAATGCTCCATGAATATGGACTAATACAGTCCTCACAATAATGATATGAGGTGGATACTGTTATTGTCCTCCTTTTAAAATGAAGAAATGGAAGCATAGAAAGATTAAGTGGCTGAGTCAGGATTCTCATATTGTGTGTGTGTGTTTTAACAAAAGTATCCCAAAATAATATTTATTCTTACCAAGTGCAGTATACACTACGTTCTATTCTGTTCCATTAAATTTTTAAAAAATGCATTTCTCCCATGTGCCAATTTGGATTATGTTTTACTAATTTGAGTTCCCAACCCACCGATGATTCCAAAGCCACAGTTTGAAAGACACTATCTGTAAGACAGGGTAGTTAGAGGAAAACTTCTGAGGAAAAAGAAATGGCAGACTTCCTCCGTGTGGCTTGTGTTCAAAGGTGGGTGGAGATCTAGCCGGGAGTGTTGGTGGGGCTCTGAGATGGATGAGAAGGTGCCTCCTGTTCCTAGATGTGAGGTTCTAAAGAAAATAGGCCCAGACCCTCAGAGCCGGCTGAGGAGGTGAAGGCTACAGGTGGGGCCGAGCTTGCATTCCTGGTTGGGCAGATTCTGCTGATAAACTCTCCGAAGAGGCCTGGCTGCTGGAACAACATCGCTGATTGTTATCTTATCTCTTCCCAGACTCAAATCAGGAAAGGCTTTCCAAACTGGAGCCCCTGCCTGGAGCTAGGACCCAGGGCTGCTAGCTGTCCCTGAGGGCCTCTTTAGGCCTGGATTGGTATTCTATCAGCAGTACCCTATGCTTAACTCTTTGGTTTAACTTTCTGAGACATTTTTATATTTACCAAGTTATTTTATGCTCAGAAGAGCTGAATTTGGTGAGCACAGGTTCCATTCCATTCTACAGGTGGGGAAAAGAGGCTGAGAGATGCTCAGTGATTTGGTCCAGGCTGGAGGAGACTGGAAGGTACCTCCAGATGTCCAGTTCTGGTTATTTCAGCTGCAGATGGCACGGTAGATTATGTGATTGGCCTTGGAGGTGTTTAAGGAGTGGATACGAGGAGGCCGCTTTATCTGTCTGGGGTTCATCATTTGGCTTCTCCGTTCTTCAGCCCTAGTTGCGCCTGGTAAAATACCAGTAGGGTGATTGAGTCCCACCCTGGGATATCCTAACGCAGATGCCAAAGGAAAGAGGAATGAGCTGACATCTTTATTGATTTCCCTAGTGGGGAATGGGTTCAAATAGGTAAGTTTGATACCTGTATTGAGCTCTCCAGTGGAGAATGGGCTTAAATTCCAGTTGGCCAGATAAAAGTTAAATCAAAGACTGGGAGGCCAGAAAAGATGGGAAACCGAGGGAAACTGTGACCTTTTAGAAGGACCTCCATCTCTCTGGAATGAGTTAGCCAAGTCACCGTGCCAATGAGTGGGGAGGCAGGGCAAACTCAGCTCCGGAGGCTCTGCCAGCTCTGGGTGGTGCTGAGTGAACCCTACCCCCACATATCCTGCAAAGGCACTGGGAACAAGGGGTTGGGTACCCCTGGACTCACCCATTGAAAGCATTTCTCCCGTGTCCCTATTCTGAGCGGCCTGCAGCTGTCTTTCCCGGCAGCTGTCTCCCTGAGCCTACTTGGGTTTCTTGTGGGCACAGGGAGTGCTCCAACACCCACTCTCCACATCCTGTATCGAGAAAGTCAGGTTCTTACCCAACCAGGGCCTCTCCTCCCCTTGTCAGTCCCGATGTTTCTTTTAATAGTTTAAAAAGTTAGAAAAATATTTTTCAGAGCTTTAGTTGCTCCTGAGAAATTCTAGCTTCCTCCCACTGGGAGTGAGCCTTCAAAGATCATTTATCCATTGATCAACGAGAAAATATTTATTGAGCGGGAGCCACCTCGCGCATTGCATTACATGCATCGTGGGACTCCACAGTCTGGCCCCCAAATACCCGTCCAGCTTCATTTAGTTATGAGGAATAAGCAAGCTTATAAATAGGAAGCATTCCCACAGTGTCCATAGTAAACACACAGTAAATGTTTATAGAATTATCGTTACTTCCCAACACGAACCTTTACCTAGTCCAGGTACCCCAGTAATCTCCCGTCTCCTTAATGTGACTCCCTCTAAAACGCCCAGCCTCCTCCTCTCATGCTGTCGTCTCCATGCTGTGGCCTCCCCTGGGCATCTCCCCGGCTCCCCACTCACGCTGCCCTCATCCCAGGCTGCCTGTCACGGGAGGATGGTTTTGTTGGTTTGCTTTTATCTGTATCCACTCTCTAGATTAGGGTTTCCTTGAAGGTGGGGACCACATCTCTGCTCAGTCTCTAGCACTGTCATGCTCAGGACATTTCTAGGGAATGACTGGCTAACATATGCCTACAACTTCACGGCGGAGGGGGTTTTCTGTGGGCTGGGGGTGTTTAACTGAAGCTTTCTGGAAGAGGTGGCATTTGAGCTCAGCCCTAACACGGTGTCCACCTGCCTTCCCCTGGGAGATTTGGATTTAACAGGCATCTGGGGGAGAGGGAAGGGGAATGACGCTGCCAGAGCAGGAATGCCTAAGGCCTTTCGGGGAAATGTTGCAAAGTTCAGTCAGGTTGAACTAGAAAACTTACACATGGAGCCATAGAATATGACGTTTGAAAGATGAGTGGGGACGTGCCGCAGTGGGCCTTGGATGCCAAACCGTGGAGGTGGACCCTTATGTAGCAGGCAGGGGAGGGGTAACCACTGAGGATTTCTGAGCAAGAGAGTCACATGATGAAACAGGTATTGAGCCATAGCCAGTGGAGGGGAAATTGGCTTTAATTTTAAAGGCCAAGGACAGAGTCCTAAATGTCCTCTTATCACCCATTTCAAGTGATTCTTACTATCTAACCTAAACCATTCCTGCTGTAATCAAAGTCCAGTTTGTCTCACAGGAACTGGAAAACAGCTGGACAGGGCTGTCATTCTCCCATTTCTGCCAGAGTGAACCCACATATCTTGGTGTGGTGCAGGAGTGTGTGCCAGCGTTCCGAGCCAAGCTGGCAGAGCTCTGGATCACATGAGGGCACCGAGGCCTACATTGATACCTCTAGGGGTTGGATTTGGAGTCACTGAAGCCCCTGTGGAATTAGAAGACCTAGATCCATCCCTGAGTACTATTCCCTACTCCCCAAATACCAGCATACATGCTGTCCCTGTGAAAAGCTTGTGGGCATCCATACCAGCATCTCTACCGCCCCTGCGCCATTGTGGAGGTAAGAGATGAAGTGGATAAAGGTCTCTGAGGCAGGGAGATAAGGGCCTAGAAGAAAGACAAGCTTGACTCAGGGAAGGGCACAGGAGAAGAAGTTAAGGAGGATTCTGCTATTTCTCGCCCCAGCTTGGTTGGGATACTCATCTGACACCTGAGAGTGAGGTCCGCCAGGAGCTACAGAGGCAGCAGGTGTCTGTCTATTCCCCTCCAGTCTCCTTGGTTAGACCATCCCCAGGCCAGGGGGAGTGGTGGCCAGTTAGGATCAGTCTTGTCGTTCCAGGATCCTTCTCTGCACTTACTGTTGGCCCAGTCACTCCATTGTCGTCTGCAGGAGTATTAGATGAAATTCCAGAGACTTCAGTCTCTAAAGAAGAAAGCTTTTCTAGAACAGGGAATTTATTTCTCTCCCCGGGCTCACAGGGGAAGTGGAACATTCCATTTGAAGGGTGAAACAGGAACAGGTGAGCTACAGTTCAGACAACAGGACTCTGAGACACAGGTTGAGGGAGTGGCTGAGCCACTCATGCTGTCCACCTCTGTCTCTGCCATCTTATTATCAATCTGTTTGAGGGCACCTTGCTTCCTGTGCCCTGATCTCAAGATGCTAGGATGGCAGGATATGGCTCTGGGACCCCTAAGGAAGACAGGTAAGAGGACATCCCTCAGAAGATCCTGTCCCTCCCCATCTGGGGACCCTCACTTTCCCACCCACCAGTGCTGCTGTGTCCCACAATTCTGAGGGCACCGTTCACATTGTGCTATATGGGAATAGTACCCCCTGGGGTTGTGCAGAGGCCAGGAAGTCTGTGCCAGCAGATAAGTAGGAGGGCAGAATCGGACACTTTTCTGTGTTCTAGGCAAACAATAGAGACCTTTCCAGGAAGCTCGGGGGAGGGAGCTGCCTGTAAGAGGATCCCCGGGGAGATGCTCTGTGGGGTGGCTTGAACAGGTTTCTGCATTTGCTGCTGCTTGCTTAATTAGACACCTACATGGTGCTCTCTGCTAATGACCATGTCTCCCAGGGAGATGACAGATAGAAAGGTGGTTAGCTGCAGAATGTCAGGTGAAAATCTCAAAGACAGCCACCTGAGGATGGGGGCATGGAGGTGGAGAATCATATGATTTCCTTGGGCTAATATGGAATATAGACTGCCAACAAGAGAATTTTCTCCCCAGGGACTGAGAAGAGAAGCAGTAGCCTCAAGGTCAGCTTCTTTCTTCAATAGTAACATCTTGTGTGAGCTCTGAACTCCTGGCTGTGGTTTGTGCTCTTGAGAAATGGGGAGGTCATCCCTATGTTCAGGGAGTCCCCGAGGCCAGATGAGCCCAGGAATGTGCATGTTTCTGGAGGTAGGCATCCTGGAGTGGAGGACAACCCGGTGTTTTTCCAGCACCCTGTAAGTTAGGTTGAAAAGATGAGCTGTGTGGGGAGGCCTGACTATTGTGTGAAGTGCATCACTAAGATGGTGAACTCCAACAGGGCGATTAGTCAGGAACCATCCTGGGATTTGGAGCTGAGCTTTGGAAATGGGCTAAGGGCTGGGCACAGTTGGTCCCACTTGTAATTCCAGTGCTTTGAGAAGCTGAGGTGGGAGGACCTCTTGAAGCCAGGAGTTCAAGACTGGCCTGGGCAACGCAAGGAAGGAAGGAAGGAGGGAAGGAGGGAGGGAGGGAAGGGAGGAAGGGAGGAAGGGAGGGAGGGAGGGACAGAGGGAGGGAAAGAAAAGAAAAGAAAAGAAAGAAAATGGGCTAAGGGCCTGTGCTTTGAGAAGCTGAGGTGGGAGGAATGCTTGAGGCCAGGAGTTCAAGACTGGCCTGGGCAATGCAAGGAAGGAAGGAAGGAAGGGAGGGAAAGGAAAAGAAAAAAAAGAAAAGAAAAGAAAAGAAAAGAAAAGAAAAGAAAAGAAAAGAAAATGGGCTAAGGGCCTTGATGCAAATGCTTCAGAGCTTCTCAGAGAGTGCACTAGAGGCAAACTGATTTCTGCTGATGACTCGGGAAGTGGCTGCATTTTGGCATTTGTGATTCTTCTGTGCCTGTCCCCAGCACACTCTAGCCCATCTTTGTGGAACTGGGATTGTTGGGATATGGGTAAAGAGGTCCTGTGGTCCTCTCCTGGGTGAGCCAGCCAAATATTTACCAAAGCAGCGCTGCCGAGAAAAGGTGCCAGGACCCAGGTGAACGTTGTGTTTGTGCTGCCCAAACAATGCCATGCTTCATGGGGTCCTGAGCATCCCGGCCCTGTAGTAAGGCCTGGAGCCAGACCCAAGCAAGGGCAGGTTGTAGGAAAGCACAGGACTGTGTGCCACTTGTGAGCCAGAAAGGTGTCACTCTGCCGTTGAGTGTTTCTGGGATGCTTTGAATGGTTTTGCTCTTGTTTCCTCCATCCCAGGAAGGCCTGAACACCCCCAGAGGGTGGAATCTGGAGAGGGACAGTAGGATTGCTGTGTGCCGTTTATCTCTCCCATGCTTCTGATGGAAATGATGGAAATAAGCATTTCTGCACATTTCAGGGACAGAGTGAGGTTGGCAGAGATGATCGACTGTCATGGAAGCCTTGGACTGTAGGGAAAAGACTGGGTTTTGAAGCTGAGTAGACCTAACTGAATTTTGGCTGTGTCACTGACTAGTTGTGTGATGCTGGGCAAGTTAGCTAACTCTTCTAACCATGAGTTTCCTGTGCTATAAAATGGGAATACCACCACCCACCTCCAGAGTTTCTGTAGGAATTCAATGAGAAAATATGTATAAAGCATCTATCCAGCACTGGCTCAAGCATTAGGCATTAGCATTTTGTCATGTAGCACCAACTTAATGCCTATAGTAGGAAGGGTAAGAAATGGGCTGAGACCAGAGGAAATGCTATTGCACGAGGGATTCAGTTTAGATCTTAGGATGCATTTTCTGAGTTTAAGGATTTTAGGGCCCGCATGGCCATGGGTGATTGTGAAGTTTCCTCCTCTAAAGAAATAAAATGATTCCCTTTAGAGTGTAATCTTAGGGCTTTCATGTTGGGAAGTAGGAAAAGGAATTATATTCAATTTCATTCAATAAATATTTTTGAGCAAAGGTACTTTCAGTTCCAAAGAGTTGATGATTTTGTGTTTAAAAACCCTTTGAACATCTTGGAAGGAAGAAATATTTGAAAACTGTATTGTATTTGGCAGTTATCATTAGTTTTTTTTTGTTACACTCAAGAAGCCTTAATCTGCTTAGTTCTGGAACTAGAAACAATGAGTAGAAGCAGAATAACTTTTTTTTTTTTTGACACAGAGTTTCGCTCTTGTTGCCCAGGTTGGAGTACAATGGCATGATCTCGGCTCCCCACAACCTCTGCCTCCCAGGTTCAAGTGATTCTCCTGCCTCAGCCTCCCGAGTAGCTGGGATTACAGGCATGTGCCACCACACCTGGCTAATTTTGTATTTTTAGGAGAGATGAGGTTTCTCCATGTTGGTCAGGCTGGTTTCAAACTCCCGACCTCAGGTGATCTGCCTGCCTCAGCCTCCCAAAGTGCTGGTATTACAGGCATGAGCCACCTCGCAGAACTTTCTAACAGCACTCTTCAACAATGGAGCAGGCTACCTTCCAAAGTAGTGAGTGTGCTGTCTCTGCAGGAGTTCAAGCGGCCTGTGGATAACCATCTTTCATAGTGGTTGCTGAGGCCTTTTCCTGCACCGGCTGGGAGGGCAGACTGCTTAATGCTGAGATCCCTCCAAAATGTGGGAGGCTCTCATTCTGGGATCACCAAATCTCCCAGCTCAGGATAAGGGGTTTCCCTAACTCTAGGCTAATGCACTAGAGATTGGAATTAGGGCAAGTTCCTCCCCACACCCGCATCATCACCGGAGGCATTCTTCCTGACTTCCTTCTCCAAAGCAGAGCCTCTTTTCTCTCCCTAAATGTCCTTTACTATGATTTTTTCTCCCAAAGTCTTTGAGCTTTTGTGTACTCTCCCTGCTGCATGTCTCAGAACTAGCTTTTATTGTAGATGAGTCTTTGCCCTCTGTTCCTAATCATTTCTAGCAGGATGAGAGATTGGCAATCAAGCAACTATTTATTGCATCTCTACTACGTATAAGGCATTTGTATAGGAGCTGAGAGGGAAGGCAAGGAATTGCAATAAATAGTCCAATCCTTAAAAATCTTCAGTCTCTCTTTTGGAAAAACGTTTTTGGCGTAAAAAGTCAGTTGAGGGTCAAGGTTGTATGTAAATGACAGTTGAGTGGTAAAGACAGTAGTAGGAATGCGGGAAGGGGAGGGAGTAAGAGATGGCCAGTAGTAGGCTGAGGTACTTTGGTGAACTGGGCCAGTGGATTTCAGATCTGACTGCTGTTGGGATGAGAGACTGAAATAGAAGAGTCAAAGTTGACCTGGAAGTTATAACCCTGTTTAACCAGGAGAGTTAACATTGACATTGATAGAAGTAAGGGTGAACTTAGATGGGGAGCCCATTCATAATTGATTTTTGTTTTTTCACTTGCATGCATAGTAGTCAAACAATATAGAAAAGTATTCAGTGAAAGTCTCTCTCTCGATCTATCTCTCATCTATGCCCAGTCCCCTCCTTGGAGAGGATCACTGTTACCAGTGTCTGCTACATCCTTCCTGAGAGGCTGTAAGCTAGGGGTCGGCCAACTGTGACCCATGGGCCACATCCAGCCCACTACCTAATTTTGCGTGACCCTTAAGCTAAGAATGGGGTTTATATTTGGTGCTGAAAAAAAAATCAAAAGGAGAATGATGTTTTGTGACACATGAAATTCAAATTTTAGTGTCCACAAGTAGAGTTTTATTGAAACATAGCCACACTCATTCATCTATGCTTTTTTGTTTCTGCTCATTTGTTTACTTATGAGTGGCTGCTTTTGCACTATGATGGTAGCATTGAGTGTAACAGGGACTGTATGGCCTACAAAGCTAAAAATATATATCTAACCCTTTACATAAAAAGTTTGCTGACTCCTGCTCTAGGCAAATATAATATTGGTAGTTAACATAAATTATTTCTTAGTCCAAGAAGCATCATACTAAATTGATACTATCTTCATTTACCATATCTTGTACAGTTCCTTCTCAATATGGTCATGCATTACTTAATTTTGGGGCTACATTCTGAGAAGTGCATTTTTAGGCAAGTTTGTTGTCATGCGAACATGACAGTGTACGTACACAAGCCCAGGTGGTATAGCCTACTACACACGTAGGCTTTATGGTGTAGCCTATTGCTTAAACCTGTACCGCATGCTACTGTACCGAATACTGTAGGCAGCTATAACACAGTGGTATGTGTGTACCTAAATATAGAAAAAGTACAGGAAAAATGCAGTGTTATAATCCTATGGGAACACTTTTGTATATGTGGTCCATCGTTGACCAGAACGACCTTATGCGGCGTGTGATTGTACAATGATATATTAGTCAGTGGGTGGTCAATCTTAATTTGATTGTAGCATGCTGAGTTTAAGGTTCAGTCTGGTTACCCTCAGGAAAATGCTCAGTAGGTGGTTGGGCTCATGGGACTGAAGCTTGGAGCCTGGAGGTTGAGATGCGGGGGAGACCTGCAGGGAGTCTTCAGTGTGAATCTGTCTATGACCTCAGCCTGCACGTCAAATATTTCCCTTAACAGAAATGAAGCACTACATGCTGAGCACTGTACAAAGTAAACTATGGATGTTAATAGAGTGACAGAAAGACAATGAATGAGAAACATGAAACCAGCCACTGGAGGAACAGTAAATACTACAGGCAATTTAGAATTACCTTCTTGAGGCCGGGCGTGGTGGCTCACGCCTGTAATCCCAGCACTTTGGGAGGCCAAGGTGGGCGGATCATGAGGTCAGGAGATCGAGACCATCCTGGCTAACACAGTGAAACCCCGTCTCTACTAAAAATACAAAAAAATTAGCCGGGCGTGATGGTGGGTGCCTGTAGTCCCAGCTACTCGGGAGGCTGAGGGAGGAGAATGGCGTGAACCCGGGAGGCGGAGCTTGCAGTGAGCCAAGATTGTGCCACTGCACTCCAGCCTGGGCGACAGCCAGACTCTGTCTCAAAAAAAAAAAAAAAAAAAAAGAAAAAGAAAAAGAATTACCTTCTTGAGTCAGCTGGCGACTGGAGGTAGTGGGAAGAGCAATGGGCATTTACTGAGTGCCTACCATGTGCCCCTGTATACATGTTACCTTATTTACTGTGACTCAGATGGGATCCTTAGCCTCATTTTACAGATAAGGAAACTGAAGCTCAGAGAGGTTAAGTGATTTTTTTTTTCTTGCAATCAGTGGTCCAAGTGAGTATCTAGTTGTATTAAAGCATGGTTCCAACTGACATTGATTGATTGATTGATTGACAGGGTCTCGCTCTGTCACCCAGGTGGGAGTGCAATGGCATGATCATAGGATCATAGCTCACTGCAGCCTCGAACCCCTGGCCTCAAGCAATCCTCCTAAAGTGTTGAGATTATAGGCATGAGCCACTGCCCAGCCCATCTGACTTGTAAGCCTCTTATTTTCCTTCTACCATCCAAGATGCCGAATCGGGCTGGGAGTCACTCCCTGGCTTTGCCAAGCCATGTCATCATCCTGGCCTCAGCTCTCTTATCTGCAAAATGAGGCATTTGTTACAATTGCTACAGTCCCTTCCTAGTCTCACCTGGCCTAATTCTATTATGGGTGGAAGCACAAAAGAAAGGGGAGCTCCATAAGAAGGATATGCAGAAAATTGGGAGAGGTGAGGAAGACAAATTTAGCCATTTATATATGTCAGACCCAGTTATCTAGAATCGGATCCTTAGGAGAATATTCCCTAATATGGAGGAATAGTCTCAAAATCTCTGCTCTTAAGCTGCAGACTTGCCTGTTGCCCTTATTGCCTCGATCCTGAGTGCCACTTAAGCACCTGGACTTGAACTGCTGGAGGGGTTGGGGCTGGGAGAGACAGTGGAGAGCACCTGGCAGGGCTCTCTCCCAGTGCCTGCACCTCTGGGCTCAGCTCCGCTGGGCTAGCTCAGCTTAGGGTTTCAGGAGTTGCTGCAGCTAGAGGGCTGTCTGATGTTTCCAATGAGCAGGCGGGGTAGGGAGTGAGGGGAACGCGAGGGCGGGTAAGCCATCAGACCCGAGGAACTGGGGGTGTGAGTGTGTTTATATAGGACTTGGCCAACCTGCAGTTTCAGATTTCAGAGCCAGCTTTATTGGGAGATGTTCCTTAGGTTTTCAGTTAGCGCTGGAGCAAGGAGAGAGCTGACACCAGAGTCTTCCTGGAAGGCTGGGGGAATTCTGGAATCCCAGGCTCTCTCCCTGTCTCCTTCCTTCTCATGGGCAGTGCATCCGCCACCCTCGGCAGCTTTCTCCGATCAGAAGTATTGCTTCACTCCTTCTCAGTCGGCAGTCTGCGTCTCCCAGCTGGGTCCTGACATCTGGCATGGAAGGTAAAATCTAGGGTCCTGGGGATCTCCGCTAGGAAGATCTGGGGCCAGCCAAACTTTCAGTGGAGAGGACCCGGGAGAAAAACTCACATGTTGGGCAAAGAGCAGTATTTCACAGTAAGGCAGATATGAATGAGTGTGAGTGTGTGAGAGTGAATGTGTGTGAGTGTGTGTGTGGTGCAGGTACTTCTGTTAATAGTTGGGAAGCAAATCTTTTACCTGTTCTTCCTCTTTCTTTTACCTCTTCTTCTTTTCATTTATCCCTTCTTTCTCTTCTAGCAAATAAGAATATTGCATAAATGTTCATCTTCCTCGGGGTCTCTCATTAAAAAGTTAAAGAAAATATCTAATTTCTAGAAGGTGACTATTTTCTCCCTTGGGGGTAGGGGGCTGCAGAGGGAATTTAGAGACATAAGTACAACCCATGTGTATCCAGAGGACTGATGCCCCTAGGGTAAGCCCTGGATTTTGTAGGTGCTTAGAACACTTGTTTTTTTAATTTTAGATGGTGGGGGATGGTGTACATGTACAGGTTCATTACGTGGATATATTGCATAATGCTGAGGTTTGGGCTTCTGTTGAACCAGTCACCCAAATAGTGAATATAGTACCCAATAGGTTTATCCCCCATTTTGGAGTCCCCGGTATCTATCTACTGTTGTTATCTTTATGTCCTGGAACATTTCTTATAAATCTACCTGTAAAGCTGTCTGTTGGGAAGGTGAGATCCTTATGCATTCCAGCATGGTCTCCATGTGAAATTAGCTTGAACCAACCCAAGGGATCAAAGCTATGAGGGGCAAGTGGCAGGAGCACTTTCTTCTCAGTGCCTCAGAATTGGGCAGGATGGAGGCCAAAGCCTTGGAAGAGGGGGAGGAGGAATTGGCATTTTGCCTGAAAGCAGAAATTTGGGCGAGACAGGTGATTGGTGGATGGTGGGTAAGGCTGGCTGAATGTGGCCCCGTCTTCCTAGGGTTTGTGTGGTGTTTCTTGGTGGCAAGGAGCAGAGATCAGAGAACTGCCTTGTACAGGGGCTGGTGGGTGGGCAGCCTGGCCTGGCTGCCATCTGAGCAGTCACTGGTCCTGTGGGCAGCACATGCTGTGAGGCAGGATCTCGCAGGAATGGTGGGTGGCCCAGACTCAATGGGACAGAGCCAGAGGCTGGAGGTGGTTTTTGAAAAGCAGATTTGGGGTGGTGAGATATACATTGGAGGAGGAATGTGGTGGAGAAAGCTAGAGAAAGAATATGGGGTGGATGGAAAGGAACAAAAAGAGGGATTGGGGAGTCCTAAACTCTGACACATTCCAAAGCTGCAGCCAGGCAAGTGATCTCAACTCTCAATGTCGATATAATCCAGAATAGGTGAGAAAACCACCGTTTGCCTACTGACTTCTGAATATAGTGGGAGAAATGTATGAGAGGTGATGCGGGATGGGCAAAGTGCAACAAAAATACATTTTAAGCCTAAGAAATCATATAGTACAATGGAATTTAGAAGGCAATCACACAGCCATTTATTAGGCAATACAATTAATAGGTTGTACAGTCTGGTTATTTTTGAAACTATGGGCATTAAACATTTTTTTATTTATGTCACCACCTACTTCCAAATAGAATTCATAGCATCTTTATGTAGTTGGTAGATGCTGCTGTGCATAATTTTGGCCAAAAGAGTGTCATAATTTCTTCCTTTTGTTCAATTGTACAGTGCTTTGCAGCTCAGACCAAGTGTGCTTTCATACCCACACTCCCATTCTAGCTCAATTTAGCAGGTGTTTACTGATCCCTCTTCTTCCCTAAGCAGTGTGCTAGATTTTGAGTATAGAGAGATGGAAAAGAACTGGATCTGCCTTCAAGGGTCTCTCAGTTTACCTGCAATCCTGTAGGGAAGATGGGAAAAATATTCCTACAATATAGATGAGGAAACTGGAGCCAAAAGATGCTGCTATGGTTAGTCAGCAGGAGGGATGGATTAGAATCCAACTCCTAATCCAGCGTGCCGCAGTACTGCATGCACCTCCCTCTACCCCACTGCCCAGCAATGCACGCACTTTCCTTTACCTGTTCATCCCCCATACTTTCTGCATCAGAGTAATGAGAAAGAAGCAGTGATAGGGAAGGCAGAGTGGAAAACTGCTCCCTGGTATGGAACCAGTCCTCTCTGGGCCCCCTCATCGTGCAATTGAAATGGCATCACTGGGTCTATGTCTCTGTTACGTTGCCAATTTGATGCTCTCTACCACGCACCAGAGGCATACTTTTTTTCCTCAGGTAATTCTTGACTTGGAGTAGATTGCCTTCTTCTCTATTGTCCCTGAATTATTTGAACAGGCGAGGATATGGTAAAATTCAGGGGCTCACAGAAATTTAAGAGGTTTCAGTAGGGTGGTAGATGCTCACTGGACACCTGCTTTATAAAATAACAACCAATGTTTGTTCAGTGCCTTGTAATTGACAGAGTGCCTTTAATATAAGTAAAGAATAGTATGTGTATTAATTTCCCCCTCCCTTCCATACCTGCCCTACTCAGGTTTTCTAGAAGGTCTGAATCCCAAAAGCGTAGGATCTTTCTCTTAATTTTTAGGCTCAAGCTAAAAGGGACATGGAGCTGTCTTCTGGCCCAGTGATTCCCAAGTTTTGGTCTGTGACAGAGTTTTCACCAGTCTGAGGTAAAATAAGAAAAATAGGGAAAATTTACCAATTTTTTTCAGAAAGCAAAATGTATTAGAAGACATCTTTTAGGGGCAGGAGATGTGCTGAAATATTTACTAGCTTATCCTTTTTCAGAGCTGATGGTGAGAGTAGATGGTAATCAGGCTTTTAAAATATCCTTATTTAGCAAAATTAAAAGTTGACAATCTTATATTGGTTGTCCCTGATAAGGCCACTTTTGGGGCAGATTTCTGAAAACTTGAATTCTGATCTTGTCACTACCATCTTTCCCTGCGGGTCTTTAGAATGTGATAAACTGATAAACATATTGAGTCTTTCTCCATTCTTACTTTGTGAGAGGTTTCTACCTCCAGGGTCAGGCCCCCGGTGAAGGAATGTACTCTCACTTCCTCTTCCCCTTTGTCCTGAATAGCAGGGATAGCAGGGCTTTGGGATTAGGACTTGCGCATTCTTATTCCTACAGTCACCTTTTGGAAATGAGGGAGGTCGTCTTCTATCTTTGGAAAAGAGCAAGGAGATCTGTGGATTGGATTTTGGGAATAGTGTGAGAAACATGTTGTTAACTGGGTGGTTGAAGTCAAGAACATTTAAAAATCTTGATATCAATTTTTGAAATGGTGGGTCTTCTTGAACTCTCAAGAATATAGGCTAAGCCTGGCACAGTGGCTCACACCTGTAATCCTGGCACTTTGGGAGGCTGAGGCGGGCAGATCGCTTGAGCTCAGGAGTTCAAGACAAGCCTGGGCAACACGGTGAAATCCCGTCTCTACAAAAAAATACAAAAATTAACCAGACATGGTGACACACGCCTACAGTCCCAGCTACTCAGGAGGCTAAGGCAGGAGGATCGCTTGAGCCAAGGAGGCAGAGGTTGCAGTTAGCCGTGATTGCGCCTCTGTACTCCAGCCTGGGCAATAGAGTGAGACTCTTGTCTCACCACCACCCCCGTACCCCAAAATAATATAGATTGGAGCTTTTGTAAATTTGGAGGCTCCTGGGGGTATTAGAGTGTCTGAGTCTTCTACCTTTTGAGGATTCAGACCTGGAATTACAACAAATATGTGGGAAACCCCAGACAGGTGCCCAGCTGCCAGAATCTGAGACACATGGTTGGTGTGCACATATATGCAGACTTGTATGAGCAAAAGCTTTTAGGAAAAACTCAGTTTGAAACCACCCTAGGACTTGAACTAGATGCTCTTTTTTGAGGTTCATTCTAGGACACTTTTCCTAAAAGCAGATACCCAGGACTTCTTTATATAAGAAAACTTTCTGATTTTTTCATCCCATTTTCATGTCCTGAAATAAGAGCCCTCCTAGCCTAGGAAAGTGGTTAAGATTCCTAAATTAGGAAGGTTGTTCAACTGTGGGGAGAGGGTGAGAGGGTGGCAGATTCTCGAGCTTTCTCAGGGCAAAGAGGCATAGGGAAAATGACTAAAGGGAAGATTGGCTCCGATCTGGAAGACCAGGCCAAGGTGTGTGAGATTTTCTTTTCCAGACAGTTTCTAGATAGTGATGGGTCAGTCCAGCAGCATAGCCCTTAAGAACGGTGATGCAGGAAAGCCTGAACCTGTGACTGATGATGGATACCATGGGGCTGTTCAAACTAGCAGAGGGGGGAAAGAAAGAAAAGGATCCAAGAAGTGTAAATTAAAGATAGCTGCCACTTGAGGAGCTTCTTCAGGTTAGACCCCTCCGTGCTTCATCTGATGGCTCCACCTAGGGTTGGGCAGATGAATGATGGTGACAGGCAGTGGTTTTCTTTTTCTTTTTCTTTTTCTTTTTCTTTGAGATGGAGTTTTGCTCTTGTCCCCCAGGCTGGAGTGCAATGGCTTGATATCGGCTCACCACAACCTCCACCTCCTGGGTTCAAGCAATTCTCCTGCCTCAGCCTCCCAAGCAGCTGGGATTACAGGCATGCGCCACCACGCTCAGATAATTTTGTATTTTTAGTAGAGATGGGGTTTCTCCATGTTGGTCAGGCTGGTCTCAAATTCCTGACCTCAGGTAATCTGCCCGCCTCGGCCTCCCAAAGTGCTGGTATTATAGGCGTGAGCCACTGTACCCGGCTGGCAGTGGTTTTCTTAGCCCACCTCTGGTCCCCTCCAGTGGTGGCTTTCCCCAAGGAGGCTTTCCCCAAGGAGGATCTTTTCTTAACTTTGCATAAGTTTGGGACACAGCATTAGGGAGTACAGCTAAATTCTTAGAGATTAGAATCTCTTCTGAGATGTTCAAGCCAGAAGGAAGAAGGCGTTAATCATGCAGCATGGCTTTTCCTGAATGCAAAGACCAGCCTGGGCAACATGACACATGCAAGGTCAACAAGGATATTCCTGGACTTTTGAAGATGTCCCCCTCCTTATCATGGTGAGATTATGGAAAGCAATACCTGGACTCCAGGGCCAGCTTTGTCTCTAACTTGCTTCATGGTCTTGGAAAACTCAATCCTTCTCTCTGGGCCTCAGATTCTTCATTTGTAACATGAGGGAATTGAATTTGATTGCCACCATCCTCTTTGTTTAATTCTGCATGCCTCAGGTCTCCATGTGATACACAGTAGGGCGTTTCTAAGAATTTCATGTAGATGTTATCACTCCAAGAAAAGAAGCATCCACAACCTCTTTCTGAACTGCAGGTCTACTGCCCAACAGTCGTATGCCTGTTGGAAAAGTGGCTGAAGGTGGCAGGATGGACTAGGTCTTCTCAAGATAGCAGGTCCAAGGTCAGAATTGAGAAGTCCACTTGGACGACTGTGCCTTAGAGTGGGTTGAGTCCATAATAATCATCAGTAAGTCCCTAAAATGTACGACTAGAGCCAAGAGATCTGAGAATTGCCCAACATTTTTCACTGTTACTGACCAGGGCTGGTTTCCCATTTTAAAAGCCTCCTGAGGCCATGAAACAGCATCAGGAGAAACATGCCAAACCTGTTCGGCTGTGTGTTGATATGTTTGTTTCTCACCCTAATGTCCCATCATCATCATCCCCCTCACAATTGGAATTCCTTCCTTCAATTCCTCATAAACTCAAGCCCCCCTTCTCTCTGTTTCCCCCACAGCTCTGTCATTTATCCCCTGGGAATGGCCCTAGGGAGTAAGTGGTACAGATGAAGCCATGGGGTGGTGGTAGGGTGGAGAGAGGGCTGGAAGCCCAATGAGGTGGGGACTTGGGTGGCGTGTTTGGACTCTGTGGGCATGTCTATACCTGAAGTCCAACCAAATAACACATTGCCTCCGCCAGCTCTATTCAGCGTAGAAATGCAGCAGATTGCTGTAGGCTGATGAGCTGTTCTTTGAATCCTCTCCCCTGTCCCATGCCAACATGCATTCCCAGGAGCCAGCTCCAGGCTGCAGGAACCCAGAGACTCTCCAGACTGGTGATGAGGCAAGTGCTTTGACTCGCTGTCAGCATCTTTAGCTTAAATAACTCTGGTGACTCTGCTGAAACTCCTGTCTTCTGGAGCTAGAGAGGTGGCTTGTATAGCTCTATACTTCATTATCTGAAATCTTTGGGGCCTATGGATTTTAGAATGGTAAAGTGGTACACATTGTTTATTACATAAAACCTTCAGTAGGATCTGGAGCAGCTCCATAATCAAACATATTAATATCCTGCAGCCAGACTGAGAGCGTCACATGAGTGGGATAAATAAAGGCTGTAAAGAGTCTCTTGCCAGTTCAGGTCGCAGTTTGCAGCTAAATATGCTCAAGTCAGGTTGAGTTTTGCTGCCAGTTAGGACAAAACTTTCAGTTCAGACATTTGTAGGTTTTGGAATGCTATGAAAGCATTGCGGCTCTGTATTGCCTCATATAGTCTTGTAAGGTAGGAATTGGTCTTCCCATTTTACAGATGAGAAAGCTAGGGTTTAGAGAGGATCAATAACTTGTCCATTGACATTCAGCTGATAAGTGGGCTGAGCTGTCATTCCAATCCAGGTCTGTCTGCCTGCAGAGCTAGGCTTTTCCTCCAAGGTAATACCTCTTTAGAATGAATGAAGACAACTCAAGGGTGGGCACGGGGAGCTCTGACTTTGACATCTTCTCTGATTAGGGGGGTACTTTCTGGACATCTGATAGGGATCATTTATTGGCTTGTTCTTATTTATACATTGACTTCTGGGATCCCAGTAGGCTAATGGCTCAGAAGAGAGGAAGCTAAATTTCAGTCAACTTTGTGGCTTACAAGAAGAATCCAGCTGGCTTTGTCGGGGCTATGAGAGCCAAGAACAAATGGGGTCAAGTTGGATTTAGTGAGAGATGCATTATCTGCAGTGGAAGAAACCCCCATACAGAGCCAGTGAAATGCACAGTGCTTCCTGCTTCCCCACGCATTGCATGGCTGGAGAAGTGTTCCCTTGAGTGGGGACCTGTCTTGAGAGAAGGATTGTCCTCAAGGATCATGAGCCCTGGGTAAGCTTGAGAGTGATGAGCAGCTTGAAATAGGGAGAATTCAATTAGGGAGTCTCTCTGGTCTTCATTAGTGATATGAAAAAACAGTCAAAGGAAGCACTAATTCAATCTGCTGAAGATGCACCCTGCTGTTAACACATCATTGGAAAGATGGACCCTGGTCTGTTGTCTGGGCAATGGCATAGATAACCTCCCTCTTCTATCTTCTAAGTACTGTCAGATGGCGGCTGCCATTTCTGGGTCATCTCTAGGTCAGGCAAGATCTGGACTCTTAATATTCAGGCACATGTGTCCATGGTGTTCCTCTGTGGTGAGGAGCCTGCCATCAGTGAACTCCAAGCAGTAGAAGGGCCGGCTGCTCTGGCAGGGGAGTGGCCTGTGCTTCACTAGGGAGACACCCATTAGGAAGGGTGGTAGGTTAGTTTCCACAGGAACAAAGAACATCTGCTCCAGCCAACTAGAGAACAGATGGGGCAAAAAATATTCTTAAAGGGGACATTAGCTCATGGAATTGGTGCCAGGGAAGTAGGCCTTTCTAAAGAAGACATGAGGGGGCAGGTTAAACCTCTTAGCCTGAGAGAACTGTGAGGCCCTAAGACAGTAGAAGACCCACGTTGCTTTGGAAAGTGCAGGAGAAAGAATGCGAGATGTTTTCTCCCCTCAATAATGGCTGTCCTCTGGGAAAATGTCTCAAAGCTGTGTCAGCTTGCTGGCTGCCGGCTCAGAGCTCCCTGAGTCCTTCGGTCAGCAGTCCTCCCCTGCCACCTTCCCTATGGACCTTAGCTCACCTATATGACACACCCCACTTCTGTTGCCAGCTCCCTCTTAAACATCCCAGGGGCTCTTCTGCACTGGGCAGTAGGAAGCTCACCTGCTTTCTCTGACCCTCCTCTTTCTTCCTGTCCTCTCAGATGGCCTGGTGTCTAGGCTGGTGACAGCCTCCCAGCACCCTTTTCTGCTGTCTTTAGACAAAATTCCCAGTGCTTTCCCTTCTTCCTCCTGTTTGCTTTCCTTTTCTTCCTCATACCAACCATGTGTGCAAAGTCTAGATGGAGACTTTGGGTCCTCTGGAAATTATCTTGTCCCTTCCTCTGGGATTAATTTGTGACTTCTGGGTACAAGTTACTGACTACTCAAAGCAGCTGAAGCCCCAGAGGGGATTTAATTATAAGGGAGCTGGGGTGTCTCTCAGAACTCAAGGTCAAAGAAATGGCTGGATCACAAGAATGGACTAGAAGCAAGAAGCTGAATGCCACAGATATGGTCTTTGCCCCTCTCTGTGTGCTGGCTCATTCACTTCTCTCATTGCAGAGAGGACTTTCAGCTTCCTGGTCAGTCTATAGGAAAGAAAAGATGGAAAAGCAGCTCCTTCCTGTGCACATCACCAATAGAATTGCCTGGAGAAGGGCTGGCCTCTTTTTTCTCTCCATCTCTGTTCCCATCCCTGGGGAGGGATTTTGGCTGAGCTGAGATCAGGTGGCTACCCCATGTAACCACAAGAGTGGGTAGGGTTTAGGCACATGGTTATTTCCTTAACCATGGATCTAGGGATGGGGCCAGTTTCTAGAAATGGGTTAGTACTTTCTGTTGCACATTAGCCCTTCTTGGACCTCCAAGCCTAGGGGAGTCTGGCCTAGAGAGTTTACACACCCCAACTCCTCTCGCTTGGCTCTTCTCCTGCCTGGCATGAGGACGGGCAAGGCCTAGCAAGGAGCAGGGTAGTCTGACTGATGGAACCTGGGGCATGGCTGTGTGTCATTGCCATTCTCCATGTGCAGAAAAGACCCGGAACCTGGACCTTGAAGGCCATTCAGTCCCCGACCCCTCCTCAGGTACCACTCTACCCTTTTAGTAAAGTCTTTCATAAATGGTTTGATTGTTCCATTTGACACTAGGGAGTCAACATTGAAAAGTCTCACTGTTGGAAAGCTCATTGTTTCTAAATTCAGTCTTTCATGATGTAACTGAATCCATCCATTGTCCCTCATTCCATCTGGGGCTCACAAGGAAGACTCAGGCCCACCATCTTGCTTAGGTTAGGATTGAATTAGTGAATATGAAACTATTTTTGCATGAGAAGACAAGGGCTTGGGCCAGGCTCTATGGGATTTGGAAGCATTTTTGACTGGCTGCTGCTCTTCATCGAAGTGAACCCCTGAGGAGAAGAGACACATGTCTGACTACTTGTGGAAATGCCCAAGAGCACTCCTCTAGATTCTTCTTTTCCAACTACTGGCTCCATGGGACCAGAGCCAATTGTGAACCATGAGAAAGGTGTGGAGGTTCAGGCAAGTCAATGGGGAGAGATATGAGGAGTAGGGGGAGGACAGCAAAGGGGTCCTAGATCAAGATGCCGTCTTCCCTCTATCACTCACATTGATGGACCTTGTGGAGGTTGGGCAACCAAAACCTGCAAAGAACCCTAAATCCTTTTGGATCTCTGATAAGAAACAGCTCATAGTTAGCAATGTAGAGGGGACTGAATTTCAGTTCCGATGTTTCTGGTGGTTCCACAAGCTGGGGGGTTGAGACAATGATAACCACGAACGTGTAACAGGCATCGTTTTAGGCATTTTATGTGAATTAAGTCACTTAATCCTCACAATAAATCCTATGAAGTAGAAACTGTTACCCACCCCCCCTGTTGCCGATGAGGAAACTGAGGCATAGAGAGATTGAATAACTTGTCCAAAGTCCCATTGCTAGTATGGAGTAGAGTCAGGATTCTAATCCAGGCATTGTGACTTCCCAGCCATCCTTCCTTTTCTCTCTGACCAACTGGGGAACCAAACAGTTCTACCCCAGGTGAACAGGAGAAAAGACTGCCTGATATCAACTCCCCCAGGACAGCGACCTTGTCCTTTGTAGCCATGTGCTAAGGCCCAGTGCCTTACACCCAGTAGAATTTCTTGTTGGAAAGAGAAAACTTAAAGGGGGACGAGGATTAGTCTTTGTCTTGAGACTTTCCAACAAGAGAAATTTACATTTAGACACTCCATGTATCCATGTATTTTCCTACCAGAAGGTAGTGTTTAGGAGTTAAATGTCACATCAAAGACAAATGTTAGAGCCAGGAGATTTTTCTTTCTAGGAAGAAGGATATGTTAGTTAGTGACTTTCTCCATCTGATTCGGATTTTATCTCTACTGTTGTCACTAAATTCTTTTCCTTTCTCTCTCCATGGAGCTGGTAGTTTAAAAAAAGAAATCTGCAGGGATGGGTACGGTGGCTCTCTGGTTATGGTGGTAATAGCCATGTTCCTAAATCTGAACTCCTTTCTTCAGGTCAAATTGCATAAGCTTTCCATGGTACTGCAGGCTTTTTCTTTCTGCTCCCCTTCACTCTGCGATGCCTCAAACCTCTCATTTCCGTCCACGCTCTCTGCAGACACAGAGTACTGAGGCTGGAAGGAGAAGGAGGGGAACAGGCAGGCCCCACTCTCTGCTCTGAGTAGTGTGTGGGAGGAGGCTGGAGAACGGAGCACTTCTCTCTGATCCTGCCTGACTCTTTTGGAGCCAGTGAGGTGGGGGTGTCTCTGAGTGAAGCAGAGGGAGGCCTGGAGGGGCTCAGGAGCTGGACTATTTCTGTAACACAGAGCACGTCTGCAGCCAGCCACAGAGAAGGTCAAACTCTGGGTGCAGGGCTGGAATGCAAGGGGCCAGGCAGCTGGGGGGAGCTGTGGTTTCACCCTTCTGGCAGCTTAGAGGGCCGCTGCAATGCCCTTTGGGGAAGGTGGGGCTACCCACAGCAAAGCGAGTAGGGGAGTGGGGAGGGACTCTGCTCTGGTAGATAGTGATGATGGTGCAGGGCATTGGAGGAGGGTAGGGGAAGGCATGCAAAATCTAAATGCCCATCACATGTGTTGGAGAGGAATTGAATTCCAAGATGTGGGGGCTTTAATTCATGCTCTCTACCATTAAAAAAAAAAATCAGGCAAAGCACTGTGTGAGAGGAAAGAGAAATAGTGCTGAGACGGGAACCAGGAGGCCACGAAACACACGCATGTGAGTGTGCACCAGTGTTCAGAAATCCACATGGGGAGGAGGATGCACTTGCACTGGCCCCTTCCAAGGCCATATCTAACACACAAATTTGTACCTATAGTCTTTTCCTTAATGAGGACCACGCCCCTCCCACCACAAATTGTATAAGCTCCAGGACCCCAGAAACCCAGATCTGTTGCTGCATCCACGACACTGACACATATGCCCTTCCTTGGTCCCCTGCCTGCACGTCATGAAGCCCCTTCCTCTGTGTGCGTGCACCCCGTAGCTTCTGTGCCTTACCCTCATCTTCCCACGTGTGTTTGTGCGGTTTGGAGCTTCTTGAGTTTCCGTTTATAGTTAGAAAATTGCCCTGCTCTGGCTCTGGCTTTGTCACAGGAGGCTCGTGTTGGCTCAGTCTGACTGCTGCTTGACCTTTGGCCACCCTGCCCTTGGCTTGGCCTGCTGTGGCCACCTAGAAGCATAATCTGTTGGTTTGTTTTCCTTCTCGGGCTGTGGGTCCTCCCCAGCTGAATCTAAGCCTCTAAAATGGGGTGAGGGTTTCAGATGAGCAGGCAGCCTTTGGAAGGAGCGCTTCCCTGAAGAACCGAAGGTGCTCAGGATGAGCAGCTCTTTTGTCCTATAATTTGCTCTAGGGGCAATGAGATTCCCTTTCTCAGGTCTAGTGGGCCCCAAGAGAACAAGGACTTGCTACACACCTTATGCAGCTGGATAGCAGCATAAGCACTAGAATTTTTTTTTTGTTGTTTGTTTTTTTTTTTTTGAGATGGCATCTCCCTCTGTCACCCAGGCTAGAGTGCAATAGCATGACCTCAGCTCACTGCAACCTCCGCCTCCCGGATTCAAGCGATCCTCTTGCCTCAGCCTCCCGAGTAGCTGGGACTACAGGCGTGTGCCACCACACCTGGTTACTTTTTGTATTTTTAGTAGAAACAGGGTTTCATTATGTTGGCCAGGCTGTACTTGAACTCCAGACCTCAGGAAATCCACCCACCTTGGCCTCCCAAAGTGCTGGGATTATGGGCATGAGCCAATGCGCCTGGCCTAGAACTGGGTCTTCTTAGTCAATTATTTCTGTCCAGTAATGTTGACCCTTAGAATGGACTGCTTTCAACCATGACACACACACAAAAGCCCACCTCCCAGTTCAAATTACACTAGGAACAGACCTCCCTCACATTTGAGATTCTCAGGTGTTAATTGTTCTGGCTCCTAAGTACAGGGGAGAGGGTACTATCTTGATGGATAACTTCTTTAGGAACAAATTATTAAGCATCCATCTGTAGGTGTCAAAGTGGTGAGGGGTTTTATAATCAAAATTGAGCCACTGTCTCCTAAGGATAAATAGCCCAAGGCAGATGCAGACAGATAATAATGATTATTAGCATTTATTGAACATTTACTAAGTGCCAGAACCTTTCATAAATTTTTTGTGGGTATAATCTTATTTACTCCTGTGACGAACCCATGAAGAAGGTCCGTATATTATCCCGTTTTCACAGATGGGGGAATGAAAGCACAGAGAGGTTAAGTTTCTCACCCAGAGTCCCTTAGGTAGTAACTGGTGGAGCCGGGATTGGAACTGGGGCAGTCTGACTCCAGAGCCAAAAATCTCAAGGCTAATGCGGATTCAACTCAATAAAAATAAACGAAAGGATTAGCTGGTAGGATGATGCATGAGAAGGGAATTTCAAGTTGCACAACTAACATAAAGTGGGAAGAAAGCTGGCTTTGGGCTGTGTCCTGGGCTCTAATCCCAGTTCTCTCACTTCCTAACTGTGTAGCCTTGGGCTAATAACCTGACCTCTCAGGTTCTTCCTCCGCAACAGCAGGACAGCAATACCTATCTCTGGGGGTTAAGCAGAGAATTCGCTAGCATCATGACTTGGATAGGTGTTAATTTCCTTTTTCTTTCTGTGCTAGTTGTCAAGTTTTCCTGGGAGGGTGAAGGGTAATTTGGGAATTCAAGGTTAATTCTTATTTCAAGAAGAAATGTCCAACCAGCCCTCCAGTACCCTATCTTCTGGACAAGATTTTCTGCCATCACCACTTCCTCCGTATCCTCCTGGGATGGCCTGGAATTGGAGGAGAGACAGGCTGGAGAGAGAGAAGGGTGTTTGGCTTAATGCAGCTGTCAAGCAGCTGTCACGCTCTGGCCACTCTTTCTTCATCTTCTCTTTTTCCTTTTAAAAACAAGGACATTCTCTTGCATAACCACAGTACAATTAACAGACTCAGGAAACTTAATAACATCGATACAATTCTATTATCTAATATACAGTCCATATTGAAATTTCACCAGTTGTCCTAATAATGTCATTAGAATCCAATTCAGGATCATGTCTCTTTCCTCTCAGTCTGGAAAGTCCCTCAGCCTTTCTCCATGTTCATGCATTGAAGTTTTCTTAAAGAGCACAGGATCCTCTCTGGGACTTCCTGAGCCTTGTCCCGTCTTTCCTCATCCCTGAGCAGGGCTGACTAGAGTAAGGCGATTAATACACTCCCCTTAGGTACAAAATGTCTTACATTTTGCCAAATGGGTGCCAAAAAACTCGGTAGTCAAGATAAATAACATTTCAATGCAATAATTTTAAAATCAAAATCAATGCAAACATTTCATGAAGAACAAAATAGTAACATTCGAAATAAAGACAGGATCTAAAACAGTGCCACTTTAAGCCAAATTGGAGGCTGAGGCAAAAGGGAAATTCCAGTGATACTGGTCCTGTCTTTATTTGAAATGTTGGTATTTCATTCATCATGGGTTTTTAATGTTAATTTTTATTTCAAAAATATCGCGTTAAAATAAGTCTTGATTGGCCGGGTGCAGTGGCTCATGCTTGTAATCCCAGCACTTTGGGAGGCCAAGGCGGGCGGATCACCTGAGGCCAGGAGTTCGAGATCAGCCTGGCCAGCATGGTGAAACCGTATCTCTACTGAAAATACAAAAATTAACTGGGTGTGGTGGCACATGCCTGTAGTCCCAGCTACTTGGGAGGCTGAGGCAGGATAATCGCTTGAACTTGGGAGGCAGAGGTTGCAATGAGCCAAGATCGCGCCACTGCACTGCAGCCTGGGTGACAGAGCAAGACTCCATCTCAAAGAAAAAAAAAAAGTCTGATTACTGAGTTTTTGGATGCCCCTTAAACTTTGTGCTCCCTCCCCCACTCCCACAGTGTGGGCTTGCTCCCTCTCCCAGTCATCCCACCCTCAGAACAAGTTGGGGGAGAGAGGTGGGGCTCCATGCCAGGAGGAGGAAGGTTAGGGTACAGAGAAGAGGCGGGAGGGGAGGGGTACAGAGGCCTGGAACGCAGCCGTGTGTCTGGCCGGGAGCTCTCTAACACTAACAGCTTCCAGCTGCTTCCACAACCTCCAGACTTCCGCCTTGGGAGTGGCATTTGGTTGTTTTTTATTCCCCCTCTTCACATCAAATGTGTGATCTAATTAGACTTTGCATCCCTCATTTCTATCAGTCTTCCCTGTCTTGCAGTGCTCCCCTTAGTTGACCTGTCCTGACCCTGTTTCCATCCATCCCAGGAGCCTCTCAGGTGCTGCCACTGGCATGCTCCAGGAGCATCCACCCAGTGCTGGGTGAGCACCACAAAGACCAAGCCAGGGCAAGAGACACAGGTAGGCGTCAGCCAGGGTGAGGGAAATGGGGGGCATCAGCCAGGGCGAGGGACACAGGTGGGCATCAGCCAGGGTGAGGGACATAGGTGGGCGTCAGCCAGGGTGAGGGACACAGGTGGGTATCAGCCAGGGTGAGGGACATAGTGCCCGGGTGAGGGACATAGGTGGGCATCAGCCAGGTCGGGGCAGCTCCTTGTGGCCCTGAGGAAAGAGCTTCGGACTGAGGTTAACAGACCCCGAGGTTAGCCTTGCCTCAGGTATATGAGGTGGGTTATCTCAGCCAACACTTCCAGCTTCAGGGATTTTGTTTTGTAAAATGAGGGTGGTACTAACACTTTTCTGCCCACCTCATAAGACCATAAAAGAACCAAATGAGATAATGATGACAGTGCTTTGTGAACCGTAAAGGATTTTATTTGATATTTTCCCTTCTGTCATAGAACAAATAATCCTTTATTTTGATGAAGACCGTATTCAGGTCTGCTACATTATTTGATCTAAATCCATGAGAAGAGTAAAGGCGGATTCAGGACACATGTTCATCTCTGCCTGTAACCAGCATTTCTGTCAGACTAAAGCAGGTCAGTAGGAAACCATACCCATTCCCACCCTCATTCCATCACCATGTGAAACAGAATGGGTGTGCCCAATAATAGCAGTCGTTGTTTTAATGTCTCAATTGAAGGCTTTTCTTTTTTATAGATTTATTGAGGTATATGATAAATTGTATATATTTAAAGGGTAAAATTAGGTGCATTTTGTGAAACCATAAACACAATTGAGATAATTAACATATATCCATCACTCCCCAGTTTCTTCCTGCCTCTTTGTAATCCCTCCCTCCACCCTGGCCCCAGGCAACCACCCGTCTGCTTTCTGTCACTATAGATTAGTTTGCATTTTTAAGAATTTTATATAATGGAATCATAAATGAATACTTTTATTTCAAGAAAGCCTGGCTCCTTTTATTCCATATAAATATTTTAAGATTCATCCATTATGCTGCATATTTCAATAATTCATTTCTTTTTATTGCTGAGTAGTACTCTGTTGTATGCATGTAACACATACGTTGTACCCAGGTTTTCATGGACATTTGAGTTGTTTGTAGTTTGGGGCTGTCACAAATAAGGCTGCTGTGAACATCTGTCTACAAGTCGTTGTGTGGACATATGCTTTCCTTTTTTTTGGGTAAATGCCTAGGAGTGAAGTCAATGGGTTGTATGGTGCATGGATGTTTAAACTCTTTAAGAAACTGGGAAACTGTTTTCTAAAGCAGGATGTACCATTTATATTCTCACCAGCAGTATATGAGCATTCCAGTTCCTCTACATTTTTGCCAGCACTTGGTATGGTTAGTCTTTTAATTTTAGCTATTCTAGTGGGTGTGGGTAGAGATAGCTCATAGTAGTTTCAATTTGCATTTCTCTAATGGCTAATGATGTTTTCTTTTCATGTACCTTATTTGACATGTGTATAACTTTGGTGTTGTTTGCTATCTTAATACTAAGTTGTGAGAGTTCTTCATAGGTTCTAGATAAAAGTCCTATGTGCGTTATATAGTTTGCAAATATTTTCTCTGTTTATGGCTTACTTTTTCATTTTCGTAACAATGTCTTTTTTTTTTTTTTTTTGAGACAGGGTCTCACTCTGTCACCCACGCTGCTATGCAGTGATGCAATCTTGGCTCACTGCAACCTCCCCCTCCTGGGTTCAAGTGATTCTCTGACTCAGCCTCCTGAGTAGCTGGGATTACAGGTGCACGCCACCATGCCTGGCTAATTTTTGTATTGTTAGTAGTGACGGGATTTCACCATGTTGGCCAGGCTGGTCTCGAACTCCTGACCTCAAGTGATCTCCCCACCTTGGCACCCGAAAGTGCTGGGATTACAGGCATGAGCCACTGCGCCTGGCCTGTAATAGTGTCTTTTGAAGAGCAAACTTAAATTCTGACAAATTTCAATTTATTGATTTTTCTTGATGGTGCGTTTTTTGTCATTTTAAAGACATCTTTGCCAAATGCAAAGTCACTAAGATTTTCTCCTGTGTTTTCTTCTAGAAACATTGTAGTTTTAGCTCTTTCATTTATGTCTATGGTCCGTTTTGAGTTAATTTTTTAATGATAGGGTCAAGGTTGTTTGTTTGTTTGTTTTCATGTGTTTTACAGCACCATGTATTGAAAAGCCTGTCATTCTCCTTTGCATTGACTTTATACCTTTGTCAAAAACCAATTGACCAAAATGTGTGGATTTATTTCTGAACTCTCTACTCTGTTCCATTTATCTATATATGTGTCTTTATGCCAACACTACATTGTCTTGATAACTGTAGCTTTATAATAAGTCTTGAAGTCAGGTAGTATAAATCCTCCAAACCTATTCTTCTTCAAAGCTTTTGAGTATTCTGGATCCTTTGAATTTCCATGTGAATGTTAGAATCAGCTTGTCAACTTTACAAAGATCTGCTAGGGTTTTGGTTGGCACTGTGTTGTATCCATAGAAAAATATGGGGAGAGTTGACAATTTAACAATATTGAGTCTCCTGATCCATGAAAACAGTATTTTTCTCCTTTTATTTGGATTTTATTTCACTTCTTTCAGCAATGTTTTATAGTTTTCAGTGTATAGGTCTTGCACATCCCTTGTCAAAAGTATCCCTTAATTTTATGCTATTATAAATGGTGTTTTAAAATTTCCTTTTTTCATTGTTTGTTGCCAGTATATAGAAATACAACTGATTTTTCTATATAGACTTTGTATCCTGAGCCTCTCCTCCCTTGCTTTGAAAATTGAATTTAAAAGAGCAGGAACCTGAAAATATCAAGGGGCAGGGCATTTGCATGACATGATAAACATTTACAATGGCTCTAAAAGCATGAGCATCTTTCTGTTCTAAGTCATAGATCATTTCAGTAGCAGCTCTACAGTAGCTGTGACTGTAAAGGATGGGAAGGAAGGGTGGTATAGTAAATTCTGACCCTACACAAGTAGAACACCTCCAGATCTCTGGGGTACTCTTGAGGGTGAATGGAGCAAGTGGGAATGCAGTGCAGCCCCTTTAAGGAACCCGGCCAGCCAGCCACCCCGCGGGCTGCTAGGAAGGCAGCCCAGGAGATAAGATAAGGCCCCCTGGCAGGTTTAAAGCAGGGTCCTGAGCCACAGTGGCTGGGCTACTGATAGGCAAACAGGAACCAGGGGTGATAAGGAGGAGGTGCCAGCTACTAAATCCGGGCTGGCAAGAGGAGGAGTAGCCAAATCACTCCTCTGGGGCCTGAAAGGAGAAGGGGCTATTAATTGTGGGTGTGTAGGGAGAGGGAACTTGTATTCTCTGTATATCCCATTTATGATCATGGTAAAAAAGAAAAATCCTACTGGGCTGTACTTAAAGGCACTCTGTTTCATATGGAGTAAATGCTCAATAAATATAGGCTTATTGAGTTCCTTATGCTCTAGTGAGATGCTCTGATATGGGGTTTAGAGACTACCTAATTTCTTCCTCAAATGAGGAAAATCCTGGCAAGGACTTACTCTCACAAGCCCGGCGCTGCTCATTTGCACACATCTGCATAGATTTGCATGTGTCCTGCTTGTAGATACTTTTAGATTTCCCCCAAATCAGTTGCCTATTTTTAAAGGATAAAGAGGGAATTTATCTCTTCTTGTTCTTGCTCACCTTCCGTCTGTATCCTCCAAAGACACTAAAATAATTTCTGCAACTTTGAACTATAAACAATAACTGTGGTTGCATAGTTTATGCAGATATGAAGCAGTTCCTTGACTGACAATGTGTTTCTCCTCTTAATCTCTATTACAATTCCTAGTGCTGCTCTCCAAACTTCTGAGTGGCGCAGAGAGACATTAAGGTAAAAAAATAAAAATAAAAACAAACCCTCTAGCTGAACAGCCAGGCTCAAATTGCTTAGAAAGCTTCAAGAATTAGTTCACTCTACCTGGACAGAGCAGTTAGAGGCAGTTCCATGGATCTGAAGACCACCTTCCCACTGCTTCCCATCCCAGGGCTAGGGATGCTGTGACTATCTTTGTCTGCTCTCCTTCCTCCAGGAATAAATAACAATATCATCCCTCCCCCAGATCCCAGTTCCTCTATTGGCCCGCCAGGCAAATATTTCATAATGTGGGCTCATCCAATTGGGCATCGTGCCAGAGCCAAACGCCTCAGGTTGCAAGTGTGCTCCAATCAGGCGGGGCGGCCTGGGTGGGACTAGAGGGCTCTCCTTCTCCACATGGGAGGCGGCAGCATTACTCAGGTGGATGGCATCAAGGTGGGAGTTGCTACTTTCTCAGGGCAGAGTAGAAGGGACAGGGCTGTCCATCAGCCAGCTCCGGCTGGCTGAGGCAACCCAGCACTGAAGGGGTTAAGGCCAGCCAGCATGTGTGGCTGTTAATGATTGCTACCCACCAGGGACCTGGTGAGTATTAAAGGAAAACCTTCTCCCTACTCCTCAGTGTGAAAGGAGTCAGGGCTAGAGGCAGCAGAGGGAACAGCAAAGAAGAGCCGGTGAGTAAGTGGTTATCTGTCTGGTCTATGTTTGTCTGGGTGGCTCTGGAACAGAAAAGGAAGCCTAGATATACCCATTCTATCAGCCAGAGTGGGCTTTTGTTACAACCAGATACAAATTCTCAGCTTGAGGCCAGATTCCAGTATCATTACTATTTATTAGAAGGAAATCTTTAAAATTATCTTAGTCCAAGGGAGTGAACTGCTCAGCGCAGAAGCCAGAGATACAAACCATTGTCTGTCCTGATGTCAAGACAATGGTTTTGTGTGGCCACCCTGAGCACAAAGCTGGAGCTGCTAGTCTTCCTCCTTCTCTCTGAGCCATTGTCTCCAGAGAGGCGCTCGGTAGCTCTGGTCAGAAGCAGCGTCGGCCTCTCTTGTGGGCCGATTTCCTGGATGGGGCCACGGGAGGAAGGTGGAGGGGACAGAGCCACAGGAGACTGGCATGGCTGTGCTCCTGGTTTTATCCTTTTACTTAGCAGAGTCAGGTGTGGTGAGATGTAGGGTAAGACAGAACCTGGCGGGGGTGGGTGCAGAGAGTTGCGGGGAGAACTCTTCACTCATTAAGAAGACAAGGTTGTCAGTTGAGAACAAAACTGAAATCCAGGGAGAAAGAGAACCAACCTTTTGCATTTAGATTTCTGTTGCCCCCATTCCCTCAACTTCCCCTTCAGGTCCCTCATCCCTTCAACCTCCAAAACATTTGTGCTCTTTGACCCTGGCACCTTCTAATGACAGTTTTGTGGAGGGGGTGTGGACAAGAATTCCTTGGCTTGGAGGAGGAGGTGGACGCACTGGCTTTTCTCAGCTGATGCTATCTCTCTGTGTGTGTACTCATGAATGCCCACGTGATTTAAAAAAAAAAAAAAAGAGGGAGACTGTCACCAAAAAGGAAGTGCTTACTTTACTCTCCTCCCGCCCCCAGCTAGGAGCCCTTTTGTTCCCTTGCCTCTTTCTTGGGAGGAAAGAGATTCGATGACATAGTGATGCTAGGTTGAACCTAGGGAGGAACTCGGGGCTCTGGAGAGCCTATTAGGTGGGAACAGGGTGCTCCCTGTGCCAGTTTAGAAAGCAGATTCGAGCGATAAGGTAAACCCAACCCCCTTGTGGCTTTCAGCTGTGGTGCTTCCTCTGGCTGGGCTGCCCATGGGCAAACAGAAACCAGGCACAATAGGGGGAAGGTGCCAGCCACTAGACCCAGCAGGGCGAGAGCAGAAGCAGCCAAGTTTCTGGGCATTTGAGGCCAAGAAAGAAGGGGAAGTAGAGTATAGGAGAGGAACGGGGATACTTGTTGTGTTCTGCCTCATATTGAGAGTCAGCCACAAATGTGACTAGCCAACCTCCATCCCTACACTCCCAGGAGAAGTATACTGGGATTGTTATTTCCAGGCAGGGCAGGGGGGCTTCATGGGGGATGCAAACTGTGCAGTTGCCCCACATGCTTGGTTTAATGCTCTGCTATTGCTGTCTTGAAATCCTTAAGTTTTGCACAAGGGGCCCGCAAATTGTGCAGCTGGTCTTATTTCCTGGCCCAGCCAGAAGTTGCAGGTGCAGAATAGTTGCTCATATACTCCAACAGGTGTAGGCAGGCTCACCTGTTACTCAGGTGTCACTTATGGAGGCCGGCTTCTGTCCCGGCTGGCACCTGTGCTGCATCCCTTTCCCTTTCCTCCTCTCTGTTCCCCTCCCAGAGTACTCTATTCCTCCTTGTCACAGCCTCCATGCCCAGTCTTTCTTCACGGCTGCTGCGTGGCAGGACAGGGGTGGGAACAGCAGTGTCCCTTGTCTGACTGCCTCCCTGCCTTCCTTCTCAGGCCCTCTCTTTTCCTTATCTGGGCTATAGCCAGCAGGTTCTCTAGGCTAGGTCTAGGCCTAGGAGCACCTCTTCCGTTCCTCTGAGATTGTCTTCCCTCCCCTCTGTAAGCCCCGGTTATCAGTGGATGCTCTCTGGCACCTGCTTCTTGTGATGTCTGCTTAGCAACAGGTTGTTTACCTGTGATTTCCATAGGATCCAGGTCTGGATGAGTGCTGGGTGGGGAAGGGGAGGTGCAGGGAAGGAAGAATCCTAAGCCTGCTGTCCTTGGTGGTACTTCCTCTACCCTGTCCTCCTCCATGCCAGCTTCTCCTGCTCTGGACCAAATGGCCCCACAGAAGACCTCCCTTTCCTCCTCCTCCCCCAAGCGTCAGCTAGAGGTTGGCCAATCCAGGAAGGAAAAGGAAAGCAGGAGGGAGGAACAGGTCCTCTGTGTCTCCAGCCTCCTCCCCAACTCTTCTTCCTTCTCCAACTCTTCTCTCCCAGCCTCCTTAAGCTGCTGGATGACCTTTTCCAGTGTTTCCTACCAGGCCAGTGCTGTTAGTAATGATACTTTCAAACTGTGCAGAGGAGTCTTAATGCATGTGATTTAAAAATAATGAGCCTGGCCAACACGGCGAGACCGTGTCTCTACTAAAAATACAACAAATTAGCCAAGCGTGGTGGCCCGTGCCTGACGTTCCAGCTACTGGGGAGGCTGAGGTGGGAGAATTGCTTGAGCTCAGGGAGCGGAGCCTGCGGTGAGCCAAAATCGCACTACTGAACTCCAGCCTGGGATACAGAACAAGAACGTGTCTCAAAAAAAACAAAAACAAAAACAACCAAAAAAAAACCAACAACAACAACAAAAACAACAAAAAACCCAAAAAAACGAAAACAATGGATTGTCCAGATTAATTCTGAGTGAACTTTGGAGTATATCATTTCTGATTTTTAACTTTTTGTTGTTGACAGCAGATTTTCCTTTCTTTTTAGCTTAGTTTAGGTCTATGAGGGAACTTGTATTTACTGAAGACACTGAGCTCATCAGCTGGTGGAAGGATACACTGGCTTAGAATTGCATTTCATAGAATTCAAAACTATTAGAACTGGAAGGTGGCTTAGAGAACATCTAGCCTAGTGCTGTCCAATAGAATGTTCTACAATGATGGAATGTCCTGTGACTATTCTGTCCCGTATGGTAACCACTAGCTACTGTGGCTCTTGAGACACAGTGAAATGTGGCTAGTGTAACTAGGAACTGAAATTTTAATTTTATTTAATTTTAATTATTCAAGATAGAATACGGCTAGTGGCTATCAACTTGGTGCAAATTTAGGATAGTGCTATTTATTGTATTCCCTTATTTTATTAATGATTATAACATTAGCCACTACTAAACAACTCAATGTGCCAGGCATTCTTCTAGAGGTTTTAAATATTTAGTCCTCCCAGCAACTCCAGTATCGTTACATGTTGCAGGTGGGGAAACTGAGACCCAGAAAGGGACAGTGACTCAGTAGTGGTCAGTTACCAAGACTCCTGACTCTGAGACCACCGGCCTTACCCTTTTCCTTAAGGACAATCCACACGCTGTCCATTCCTTGCCATCATGTGCCAGCTTTTTTCACAACTCTCCAGTCCCTTTCCAGATCTCCCTCTTCCTCTCGGGGGCGTCAGGGGAGCTCACAAAGGATCGTCTCAGTCTGCAGCAAGTGCTCTCCTAGGCACAGTCATTTTCTGGCTGGTTCCTTGGGTGGCCCTTGTTCCTAGGCTCCCTTTGGATCCCCCACCAGCAGGCAGCAGTGCAGGGATATCGCTTTGCCCTCAGAGTCCTTGGCAAGCTCCCCAAGTACAGGGGAAGTTCCAGATTCCTTGCTCCTGGCAAAAGGAGGTGTTCATAATTTCCCACAATCCACCTGGCTCCAGCTTACCCTATTACTCCCAGTCTGAGAGAGAACATCAGCTGAGCCCTCCTTGGGGGCCGGAGGCAGAATGGGTCTCCCTGGGCAGGTGAGGAGCAGCACTACATTAGAGCCTGCTGTTGCCCCTCAACCCTTGCTGTGCTACCCTCCAGCCAGGAGGCTCCTGCTCTCCAGCTCTGGCTGGTTTACTGCTTTCCTCTTCCCAGGGCAAAGCTTCTGCTTTGTAGACTCTTATCAGAGTCTGGCTGGCCAGTAGGGAGGGGAGGGACAGGAGGGGGCATGAAGCAGATGCACTGTGCACACTGATCCCGGCGAGAGGGATTTGAGGCTGAGCTCCTGTCTCCTTCAGCCGCTATTCAGCATCCCAACTGGAACAGCACGTGCCCCCTCCTCCAGGCAGTGGTGAGCCTGCTGGCCTGCCCTACAGCTGCTCCATCAAACTCAAACAGTTATTCAGTTCCCCTGTGTGTGAGGTGCTGGGCAGGGGCACAGCAATAAAGGCCAGGCTGTGGACAGTGTTTGTGTGGCTGCCCTTCCATGCCCCTACATCCAGGCAGCTGTTGTCAGACTAAAGTTTGTGGGTAGCCCCCAGCCCACATCACACACAGTCCCCAGACCTGTAGCCCACAGATATTACCAGTGAAAGAGTTTGTGGCTTTCATTACTGTGTTCTTGGAGCAGACCTTGAAAAGCTGGCATCTCCCCCTGAACCATGAAGCTCTCTCCTGCTTTCCTAGGGGCAGGGAGCTCAGATTGGGTGCATCGCAGGAACAGAAAGAAGGGAGCCCAAGACTCAAATTTTTCTGACCTCTCCTGTCACTATAGCTGGGACAATGCACCTCAGCTTCCCTGATTCTAAAATGGGCCTTCCTTGCCTCCCTCCCAGTGTAAGGACCAGAGATTGCATGCGTTTTATTTTTCTCTTCATTCCACATGCCTTCAGAGCATCATAACCTTTCTTCCTCTGCTCTCTGGTCCAGTGGGAGATTTGTGTTGTCTGCTCAACAAGGCATCACTCAATACCATTGTTTTACTGTTAAAATGAGAAAACTAAGATACCAGACAGCTTGATTCTCAAATTGCTGGATTGGGAACCAAGAAGGCACTGGTAGCTTTTGAGGATGGGGAAGGAGAGAGATCAGCCAGCTTCATAACTCTCCAAACACCCACTTTGTAAAATTCCTTTCGTTGGGTGGGGCAGGGTGGGGTCGCTGCTCTCCGTAGGACACCAGAAGCAGATCTGCTGAGTTAGGGATGCAGAGACATGGTTTCAATGACCTTCCATAGACCCGGCGGCGGACAGCTGGGCTGCCTCAGCCACTGAAGGGCAGGGGTTTGAGATTCAACTCAGAGCTGGAAGGCGGCGGGGCGGTGGGGGGGCATAATTAATTATTGCCCTGCCCTGTTACCCCTTGGGATCCGTTCCACATTGCTGGCTGTCAGGAGAAGGCAACTTGGAGGCGAGGGGGCTGGGGCCTTTTTTCTCTGCTTCTGTCTGGCTTAGCTACTGAGGAAAGGCTGAGAGGAGGAAAACCCAGAGCTGTAGGCAGCTGGTTCTCCTTTGAATTCCCCCTCTCTTTAGAAGGGAACAAGAGCACACAGCACAAGGAGGAGCTCCAGGGAGCTGGATTGCCCCAGTTCTCCAATTTGGGTCAGGGTGAAGGAGAAAGTGTCTCCCAGCCTGCCCATGGCAGCTTCTGGGTGGTAGAATCGCAGTTCCCCACAATTGGAAGACACTTCAGTGTTGAGACAGTTAAGGACTGGCTGTACCCGGGAATGATATTCAATAATTCATCAACCAGAAAGGATGCTGGCCTGGAGTCTTGGAGGGCCCTGTGGTGCCAGGCATTAACTCTTTTGTCTCTGGGTCATGGAGATGTGAGGAGGTCTCAGACCCTGGCCCAGAGATGGGGCAGGGACACTCGAGGGACTTGGGGGAGCAGCTTTTCACCCACCAACATGGAAGAGCTTCAGTATTTGAATCACTGGCAGAGTTATGCTATCTACTCTGGTTGTCTTCATTTTTCAGCAGACAGATGGAATTCCCTAAAGTAAAACAACCAGTTTAAAGATGAACCAAGCTAGGGTGGGAGGTCAGGATGAAGTTCCCCTGTATAGTATCCATGTTTTCTCTCATGCACACACACGTGCGTGCACACACATGAGCTTGAACCCGTTACCCTGACTGAAGTACACCTTGTCCTCCTGCCCTCAGTCTGCCATCTTAGGCCTTCCTATCTCCTCTCATAGGAATAAGGGACCACCCAGGCCCAGAGCAGGGGCTGGGAGACACTACAGTGAGAAAATGGGGGAAGGACAGCACCTGAGCTGGAAGGGAAGAAACCTGGACCTGGCCCCCTGATTTGTGATTTCTCTCCCTTGTCCACGGAGCCATCTCTTCTATCTTCTGCCTGTGGTGGGAGCTGAGCTCACGTAGAAGGCCCCCAGCCTTCCATAACTGCCCATAACAGGTTTTGGGATGGGGCTGGGGGTGCGGTGTGGCTGGGCAGAGTGAAGCAGGAAAGGGAGCAGCATGAGTCTTGTCTCCTAGACATGCAGCCGAGTAGCTTAGAACATTTCAATAAACTGGCTTGGGGCAGGGAGGTACCATCTTCTTGACAGTTTGGAAATAACTGTGGCATCAAAGGGGGGATGAGCAAGGGCAGAGAAGAAAGGTGAAAGCAAATACAAGGCTGGGTGACAGCCACTGGCAGCTGGTTCCCAGCACCCAGAGAACTGGTATTTTGATCTTCAAGGAGCACATGGAAGAGAGACAGTAGGGGTTGTTGTTTTTAGAGACAGGAGGGTCTTGCTCTGTTGTTTTTTAGAGACAGGGGTCTTACTCTGTTTTTTTTGTTTTTTTGAGACGGAATCTCTGTCTGTTGCCCAGGCTGGAGTGCAGTGGCGCAATCTCGGCTCACTGCAAGCTCCACCTCCTGGGTTCACGCCATTCTCCTGCCTCAGCCTCCTGAGTAGCTGGGACTACAGGTGCCCGCCACCAGGCCCGGCTAATTTTTTGTATTTTTAGTAGAGACAGGGTTTCACTGTGTTAGCCAGGATGGTCTTGATCTCCTGACCTCGTGATCTGCCCGCCTCTGCCTCCCAAAGTGCTGGGGTGACAGGTGTGAGCCACCGCCCCCGGCCTTTTTTGTTTGTTTGTTTTTGGTTTTTTTTAGAGATGGGGGCCTTGCTCTGTTGTTTTTTAGTGACGAGGGTCTTGTGCCTCAGGTTGGGGTGCAGTGGTGTGATCATAGTTCACTGCAGTCTCGACCTCCTGGGCTCAAGTGATCCTCCTGCCTCTGCCTCTGAGTAGCTGGGACTACAGACATGTGCTACCATGCCTGGCTAAGGCAGTGTTGTTTGGAGGGGTTCCTTCCCACCTGCAAATACCTAGAAGTGCTGCCAGGGCCTGACCCTCTTTGACCTCTTCTTTATGTGGCAGCAATAGGTAGGAAAACAGAGGGCCTCTGATGAGAAGTGGCTAGGAAAGTGTATTTTCTCCTGGAAATGGCAGGGGGAGCTTCAGGAATCAGGTGCATGAAGATGGCTGGAAACATAAACTGAGTTGGTTTTTAATTGGGACAGGATGCTGAAGCAGATAAGCCTCCTTGAAAATAATGATGAGATCCAGATGGGGAGGCACAGAGCAGGAGCCAACCTTCTCCCCACCTTCCCCTCCTCTGTGGCAGCAGAAATCCTCTCTGGAGCATGGACAGTCTCGGCTTGGAATTTGCTAGCTGGGAGAAAGAAGGAAGTGGAAGGGATGGGACCCCCTTTCCACTTGCCTTGCATGCAAACCTCTCTCCACCTAATGAGCTGTAATGCTGGAAGCCAAGGCGTCCTCAGGATGGGGAAGCTGGGCCAGGGCTAATTCTTTGTCAGCAGATTCTCAGGAGCTATGGAAATGAAGCAGCTTGGTGTACAGCAGATAATCAAGAGAGGCCCAGTGGGTGGAAGGAGTGGAGTATTTCTCCAGTCGTTCAATATTGATCACAGTGGGGTTCTGGGCATCCAGCCTGGGAGTGTGTGTGCATGTGTAAACATACATGCCTGCAAAAGATCGTGAAACTTGGATTAATTTTGCCACTCTTGACAGTGTAGTGCCAGGTATACTGCACGTGGAGGCTGACTCTCCAGGGGGATGTTTGGAGATGAAGCAATGCAGAGTTATCTCTATGTGAGGTACTGTAGGGGTTGAGGATGTCTCTTGAACTACAGGAAAGCTTTAAATAGGTGCAGAGACAAAGGCCTGGAAAAATAGAGAGGATCTGCTTCTTTTCTTTGTAATTTATCGCTCTTGAGACTTCCAGAGTGCCTGCCCCTGGCACTCCCAGCCTGTGCCCCATACACGATCTTCTTAAGCCTGGGACTAAGTATTTTTCATTTTTTCGCTCCTTCATCTGGCATATATCTTAATTTGTTTTTAAGTAGAATGATCATAGCCATTATCTCTTCTGCAAAAAATGGTCTATATCTTGCAAGTTTACAGCTATTATTTCATAGAATTAGTGTCTGTGCTGGTGAAGTGAGCACTATTATTTCATGTAGTTAGAAGGTACCTCATTTACACATGAGAAAACTAAGGGCCCAAGAAATAAAGTCATATTCCTAACTCAGGTTGGATCTTGGACTGAATGTTTGGTCCTGCCATGTTTGTTTCCACTGATGGCACTGCCATCAGGGCCACCCTCATTGTGGATAAGTGACCACCTACTGGACTGCTCTGGAGTTTAGGGCTGTTTCTACCTCCACCGCACAATCTCCTTTACCACTTGAGATTTTCCCTTCTCTTGGGTGGAATTTGAAAGGTCCATTTGGGTATGTATTCATGGATTCATAATCATTTGTCCTTGACAAATGGAAGCCTTTTGACATCCCAAAAGGAAGGAGAGAAGAAGGAGAAAACGGATTACCTGTCCTTGTTTCCCTTTTTAATGTTCTGCCTCTTGTAAGTTCTTCTTGATGTCTAACTAAAATGAAAATTTGCCATACTCTGCAGTTTATTGGCAAAGGGAAAGAACTGCTGCTAGACATTCTGTGTGCAGACTTAATTCCTAGGAGTTCAGAGCTCTTGATGAGCAGGGGAAGCCCCTGAGCCTTCCTTCGTTCCTACTCCCTTGTGCTATCTTTACAGGGCATAGGAGAAGTAATTTAACTTGCAGCTTAAGCAAAGGCTGTGGGAGGCCCCTGAGCTCAGCTTGAAGTGAAAGGGGATATTTTTGCCTTCTAGAGGAAGAAAGCTCATTTTCCCAAAGCGCCCCTACCCCCTCCTCCTTCTGTGCAGATGAGCTTAATTTTCTTCCCGTCCTACTGAAGGTGGATCAAAGCCAAGCTATGTATTCAAGGGGGAGCTAGGCAGGGAAGCTGAGTGAGGGGGCGAGGGGGCAGAAGCAAAGCTTCTCTCATGGAGAGGAAGTAATTAATTTTAAGAGAGAGCTAAGATAGGGAAGCCCTCGGTGATAGAATGTCAAACTCCAAATGCAGGTGGTTAAAAATTAAGTCAGGGCTGGAGAGTTTCTATTATTCATTCATTCAACAAATATTTATCGAGCACCTGTTATGTATGGGCAGGAACCTCAAGCCGGCATCAGGAGAGGGCCCAAGAAACTGGATTAGGGACAGGGAAAGGATGTGATCTGAAAACCGAGGCCTCCTGTCACCAGGATAAATCATTTGCAAAAGTCCCACGAAATAGCTGAATATATTGACCTTCTGGATTTAAGATTAAGCTGTTTAAATATCAGCAGCGGTTGACCCCAGTTACATCCTACCAACTTGTCTCATTATGGGTTAAATAATAATGTTGTCCATTTGCTTTTCCATTCACTGATCACATTATTCCCCAATCAAGTTCTTGCTCGATCCAAAAAATTAGATTAGCCCCTTCCTTTCAGTGTCTGTTGTGACATCACAGAATTGCCATAGCAACAGACTGTGATGTCAACAGACTGCCTGGTGCTGCTAAAAAGAACCACGTTGGTCAAAAAAGGAATCTGTCATGTGAAGACAAAATGGAATAATATAGAAAGCCAGAGGAACTGAAACGTGATATCAAAAAGAACATCTTGGCAGGATAAGATAGCAGTGGGTCTGGAGCCTCCTTTGCTAGAACTCTTTACAGAAAACCAAGGAACTTAATGAGGATTGATTGGAGAACAGGCTTGCCTAGAAGCAGGGGGATGGCAGCGATGACCTTCGGAAGGCCCTTGCAGTCCAAGGATCCTAAGACATGAAGGACATTAGGAAAGGGGGGAGCGCTGACCATCTTTAGCCGCTGAAGAATTCAGGGGAATTAACATCGATACAAACCTCCTTGCTTCTGAGCAGATCTGACAGTCCCCAGCTGGAATGTATCATCTCGTGTCTGGGAAGATTTTCAGCCATAAACACACAGTGACCCCCTCTCAAGCCCCATTTGCTGCCCTCTTCCTTGCAAGCCTTGAGAGGAAGCTCTCCTTTAATATTGCCTGAGCAGCCCCATCCTAGCCACCAGCTCTGGTTCCACAGCATCCACGCCCATCTGGTCGACTTGCTTCTCATCGGTAGGACTGCCACACAGGGAGGGAAAGCAACCCCGTGCTGTCTGAGGGGAGCAAGTCGGAGGGACAGGGGCAGAGGACCTTCATTCATTATGCTCCTGTCCACACAGAAGAAGGCTGGGCAGGCTGACCGAAGAGAAGGGAGAACTGCTCAATCAATCTCAGCTTCTCAGCAGCGGCAGCAATAACAGCAGATGAATCGGGAGCTTCATTTAACCCTTATGCCCACAGGATCTGAAGGATCTCTGAGAAGCAAGTTGATTTTCAGCTCAGGAGCCTGTATTGTGGGTTGAGAATTGGGGAGGCAGGAGGACTGTCTCCCTACAGGTCGGGCTGGCATGGGTTTCAGCCGTGCAGATGGGAATGCAGCCCCAGACTCCTTCACCCGTCCAGCTACTCTGCGTCCTTAGCTCACTGAGGTCGGACTACCTGGGAGTGCTACACCTGCTCCGTGTATGCCTGTCTCTCCATTTCAGCATTTTCTCCTTGGGGTGCTGAATGGGGAGGATATCATCCCCTCCTTGTTTATTCTGCCTCCAGTCCTCTGACCAGTAGCATTCTGGCCGAATACCAGGAAGCCACAGGCCTACTAGGGCACCTAGGCGACCCCTACCACCACCCAAGGAGAGTGCCCTCCTGGTTCTCCAGAGCCAGAGCCAGGAGGAGGGAGAACTGCTAGAGACTCTGCCACCAATCACTCTGCATCTCTGCCACAGCCTTACGAGTTGGACCAGAGGACTTACTTCTCAGAGGCATGGTAGGATCAGGGTGGCCGGCGGGTCCTCTGAGGCTGCCAAACTGGGGACGGAGCTGCCAAAAAGATGTTGAAGTTTCGGGCTGATCGACGGGTCAGGTAGGGATGTCTTCCACGGATCATGAGCCAAGTCAAGTCAGAGCAAGCTGAGTTGGCAGCTCATCCTGCTTGGATCCGGGGGCTTCAGAGTGAGGGGTCTGCTTGAGATGACCTGGAGAAGGAAGCATAGTTAGGTCAATGGTTGCTGCATTGCAGTGCTTGTGAAGGGGAAGCTATTTTGAAATTGGTAGTGCCGGGATAGAATGAGGACGTCATTTGTAGGGGTTGCTGGGTAGGAAAGTCTGGGGCTGGGAGAGATGTGCCATTCCCTAGAAGTCTTGTGATGGTTGGCAGCAGACTGTGTGTGTATGCTTCTGTGTGTGTGTGTGTGTGTGTGTGTGTGTGTGTGTGTGTGTGTCTGTGCCAGTGCCTGCAGGGAAGATTCCAGCAGTTACCATTGGGAACACACAGAGCAGAAGGAGACTGGAGGGTCAGGGCAGGGGGCGGGTGCCCTGCACCACTGAGAAAAAGCAGACAACTTGACACCTCAAAGGACACCGTAGTTGCCACAGACTGCTTGCCCCCCAGACCACCAGATGGGACAGATTTAGGGGCAGACAAGAGTAACGGGAAACAGTTGCCCTTCCTTGCAAAGATCCCCTGTGATTAAATTGAGGAGTGTGTCCTTGTTGGACCTGGGAGGGAGGTGGGAATAAAGTTTGGGAAGTGGGGAGTGGATTATCAACGTGCTAGACTCAGAACCCAGGCCTGGTGGACACGCGCCTGGTTTTTGGGTCCTGGCTGGCAAGCCTGGGCTGCGAAGCCCAGATTTCCACATAGACTGTAGGCACTGCCTGCTGTGCTTTTATCTCCTGCATGTCTTTGGATTACATCTGAGCACGATAGCTTTGGAAACTGAAAAAAAACACTCTTTGATATTATCTTTAGCTTTAGCAGACAGCCCAAGGGCTGGGATGTGTCCTGGGCTATTGAAAGGGGGCCCCCAAAAGGTTATTTTCCTTCTCTGATACAACTGAAGGGACTAAGCTAAGATCTCCTTCCTCTGCTGCTGGCTGACCTGCCACTTGTCAAGCAGAGCCAGCTCTTTGCTGTGGGTGTGCTTGAGTGGCCCTGTCTCCGTGGCCTCTGTCCTAGTGCCTGTTCCTTGCGGGAGTTTGGCACCTACTCTGGGTTCTCACAGTATTTCTCAAGAGGAATGGGTGAAAAGGCCCTTAACTCATCTAGTCCCTCCACTGGCTGAATGCTTGAATCTCCACTGCTACATTCTTGCCAAGTAGTCACCGCTTACTGGATCCATCTTGGGGGTTGCCATTATGGCTTAGACCGCTGCATCAGCCCCTCTGCGCTCTGTCTGCTGCCTTCCTCCCCATCTCCCCTGAGAGCCTCCTGGGGAACTGTCCTGACACTCAGCCAGCCGGAGGAGCCACAGCAGGTCTTCCCAAGGAGGCTCCACGATGCTGCTCCCCATCTGCCTCTGCACCTACCCCCCACCCCCCAACCCCTGGGTTCCTGCTCCCTTCTGCTTCCTGGCAGGCCATCCTCACAACGCCCTGCCCCTCTCCTGGCCACAGCATCCCTTAATGAGACTGGACTGTTGAGCCAGCACTGACCTTCATGCCTGACAGCCCCTGAGGTCTCAATGACATCAAACAGCCCTTAGACAGGAGACCCTGGACTTAGGGTGTGGGTGGGTCCAAGCCCAAGCTCAAGAATGGAATTTTTTGAGCTCCCATTTCCTTTTAAGAAAGAGACGGAGCAAAAGCAGGAGAAGGAGGAGGAGTCCAAGGTCACAAGAAAGTTTTTTCAGCAAATAATGGGGGAGCTTTTTTTTTATGTGGCTCACTGGCAGACGCCGTCCCTGGGAGAGAACCTGCCATGCGTGAGGTCCTGATGTGCTGAATTGGCTGTTGGAACCCCTCTTCCCCACACTTAGGATAACCACTGAAAGAGTTCAGTGTGGCTTATTTCCAGCCTCAGAGAACTCTAGTAAGTAGTTAGCACTGACTAGTGGGAGGTGACCAGGCTTCATCTCTTCCTTCCCCCACCCCGCCCCCACCCTCATCCAGATGTCAGCCCAGGCCTCCCATGGATCCCCCTGGAGGACAGAGGCACAAGCTCCTTACATGATCACCTGTCCCTGTCACCACCCAGGGTCTGTCCACGCATTGGCTTTTGTCTCTGCCTTCTTCATCTTTACCACAACTCTTCTGTTTTTCCCTCTACAGCCACAATGAAAGACGGAACACATTTCTACACCCAGTGACTGGCCAGGTCCCAGAGGAAAACAAAAAATTTGACTTGAAAATGTAAGTGTGTCCCCTACTTGCTGTTTGGGCTTTCTGCCCTTAACCACTACCATCCCACTGCCTCCTTGCAGCTGGAAAGCAGAAGGCAACAGGGAGGGGAAGGAAAGCAGAAGGGCTTTGCAGTGACTCACCTCGGTTCTGAGGACTGGAAGCATCTGAGACCCATCTGGCTTGACACCCTCATCCACTTTTCCTAGGGTCTAGCAAAAGCCAGGGTGGTGCACCCCACAGGTTGAGCTGATGGAGTAGAAGACAGGTATGAGGCTGGCATAGCACCCAGGGGCCTTTGACGGAAGCGCTGAGAAAATCTGATATGATCATGAGAGCCAAATGCTAATTCCTCTCACTGTGGATCCTGGCTCACCAAATGAAAGGAGAAAAAAAGAAAAGAGGATAATTAATCTACTCTCATAGGCCACTAAGCAGTTGTGTCTTTTAAAGTAGAAGGAAAGGATTTCTAGATCCCCAGGGTCTAGATTTTAAAATAAATGTCCAGGGCTGGGAACAGGTGGCTCATGCCTGTAATCTCAGCATTTTGGGAAGCTAAGGTGGGAGGATCACTTGGGTCCAGGAGTTTAAGACCATCCTGGGCCACATAGTGACACCCTGTCTCTCTAAAAAAAAAAAATTAGCTAGGCATGGTGGCCCATGCCTGTGGTCCCATCTACTCTGGAAGCTGAGGTGGGAAGATCACTTGAGCCTAGGCATTCAAGGCTGTGGTGAGTCTTGATTGTGCCACTGTGCTACAGGCTGGGTGACACAGCAAGACCCTGTCTCAAAAAATAAATAAAATAAATGTCCAAGATCCCTGACATATAATTTCAGAAAGGCTAAAGGAGTGGCTGAGGTGACCCCTCAATGGCACTCAAGAGATCTAATTTTGTGCTGATGCTGAAACAGTGGGTGGCAGGGTGTGGAAAAAGGATGGGCTGTTTCCATTGTTTCTTGGATCTCACCAATCTCTTTTCTCTGGTCGACTTGAAATCAGATCGACCTTGGACATGTCCAATAAAACAGGTGGGAAACGCCCGGCTACCACCAACAGTGACATACCCAACCACAACATGGTGTCCGAGGTCCCTCCAGAGCGGCCCAGCGTCCGGGTAAGTCCAGCCCTCAAGGCAAGCTGTTGGGCTGGAAACGTCTTCAGTGCATGTTTAGTGGGATCTCTGGGAATCCTAGGAAATTGTAGCCTGTCCAGCTATTTCTGCAGGCTCCAAGAGTAGGCAAGGTGACCCAGGAAGAGAGTGGAGAGTAGGAAGGGAAGAGGGCTCAGATCAGAACCTCGTAGAAGACCAACATCTAGACCAGGGGTTCTCAACCTCAGCATTGCTAGCAGTCGGGGTTGGATGATTCATCGTGCTATGAGACTGTCCTGTGCATTGTAGGATGTTGAGCAGCATCCCTGGCCTCTGCCCACTAAATGCCAGTAGCACCTCTTTTCCAGGGGTGACTGTCAAGGATGTCTCCAGACATTGTCAGTTGTCCCTTGGGGACAAAATCTCCCCAACCTCATTGAGAACCACTGGTCTTGAAGGATAGTCACGAAGGTCATGGTGATTGAGAGCTCAGAGAGGGGGAAGGAAGGAAGAGAGCCCCAGGAGAAGGAAGTCTAGAGAAGAATGTTGCAAAGAGGGCCAGGAAGACAAAGGCTGAAAGTGTCCTCTGGGTTTAGCAGCAATGTGGTCACAGGGGACCCTGACAAGGGCAGTTTGAGTGGTGTGAGAAGAGCAGAAGGCAGGCTGGAGAGGTAAAAGGGGGGATGGGAGAGGAGATGTAGAAAGAGCATAGCATAGAAACCGCTCTTCTAAGGAACTAGAAAACAAATGGTAGTATATCATCACATAATGGAGCACTTGCCAAAAATTAAAATGAACTGGAGCTGTATGTATTAACAAGGATAAATCCTGAAAATATAATGTTGAGTAAAAAGCAAGTGGCAGAATATGAGAAATATGATATCACTTATGTAAATGTACAGACATGAAAAGCAGTACTACATATTTATAGGAACATCTGCAGTAGAAGTGCATAATCATGGACAGGAAGACTAATTTTGGGTCAGTGGTTGCCTCTAGGGAGGAAGGAAAGGTAATGAGACTGGGGAGGGGCTTGAGGGAGTTTTAGCTCCGGTTGTCTTGTTTTATTAGGGAAAAACAACATGAAATGATGATCATCATATTATTCCCTACTTTTCTGAAATGTTTGAAATACTTCAAAAAAGTGTTTTTAAAGACACTTGACTGTGATGGGAAATGGAAGGGTAGGGAATGGAAGCTAGAAGGTAACGCAAGACTGGAGGGAGGTTTCATTTGTTGGTTTTGTTTTAAGATGTCAGAGGCGTGAGGGGAACAGGCCAGTAGGTAGTAGGTTCAGGAGAAAGAGGACAGCCAGTAAGTCACGTTTCTATGGAGACAGAGGGAGTCAGATGCAGAGGTGCTGTTAGACTGGATGGGGAAAAGCCACCTCTTCCTGAAACTGCATTAAAAAAGGCGTGTGAGGCTAGGGAGTGGGTGTCTAGGAAATTAAAGAGACTCTCACATGATGTCCTCAACTTGTGCAGAAAAGTAGGAGGCAGGGTTTTCTCCTGAGAGGAATGGGGTGGGCGGGGAAGCATCAGGTGCGGGACTGGGAGCTTGAAAATACGTGATACATGTGCCACATTTTCTTAATCCGGGGAAGGGGGAGGGATAGCATTAGGAGATATACCTAATGTAAATGATAAGTCAATGGGTGCAGCACACCAACATGGCACATGTATATATATGTAACAAACCTGCACGTTGTGCACATGTACTCTAAAACTTTAAGTATAATAATAATAAAAAAAAAGAAAATACGTGATACAGGTTTGGGAAACAGGAATGATGGTCAATGAAGGACACATGAAATGTTGCCCTATAATTTCAAAGGATCATCTGGGGCAGATGATTCTGTGCAGCCCTAAATCTGCAGGTTTGTGTGGTTTTCCTCCAGCATGCTCATAGCCTGGCTGTGAGAGCAGGGAAGGCAGGTAGCTGGATTAGCCTCAGTTTGCCGAGAAGCTGTGGCAGAAAGATAGGAGGCCAGGATATTCAGGAGTCAGTGGGAGGTTGTCTGGAGTGGTAAACTATGGGTGGAGTTTACCATAGTTTACCACTGGAGAGAAGAGGTAGAATTATGAAAGTGTTGGACTGAGAGAAAAGGGAAGGATTTAGAGATTTGCATAGGGTTGTGGTGACTTCTTCCAATGGCAAATCTCAGTCATTATATGTGTATTTTTGTTAGTAATGTTCAGATAATAATGTTATTTCCCAGTTGTGGGAGTACTTTATAATAAAGACCAATTTCTTCCTTACTTCCTTCTACAAACAGTTGCTGAGTGCTTGTTATGGCTGGATACCTTGCTGGCTCTGGTGATAAAGAGATGAAAAAGACAAAAGTTCCTCCCTGCAAAGAGCTCATGGTGCAATGGAAGAGATAGAAAGCTGCATTGTGACAGGTTTTAGGCAAGGGGTGTCCAATCTTTTGGCTTCCCTGGGCCACACTGGAAGAAGAAAGATTGTCTTGGGCCACACATAAAATACACTAACACAAACAATATCTGATGAACTAAGAAAAAAAAATCATAATGTTTTAAGAAAGTTTGTGTTGGGCTGCATTCAAAGCCATCCTGGGCTGCGTGTGGCCCACGGGCCATGGCTTGGACTGTCCAGATGTGTGGAGAGTAGTGTGCAGCTAACCACTCAGGGGGATCAGGACTTCGTGGAGTGGGGGAGTCTGCAGCAAACTTTAAAGCATAAGTTGGGATTTGACAGTGGCCAAGGGAAGACGGGTCCTCCCCCAATGCCAGGGAGCACACTGCGAAAGGCACGGGAGGATGGAGAGAACCAGAAGCAGGGCCTGTCTGGTGAAGGGGCAGAAGGTGGGTGACAGGCCCTGCCATATCTCACAAACCTGTCCTCTGTGCTGTGCTGAGGAATCCAACCTCTCTCTTAAGTGACGAGTGCAAGAGAGAAATAGGATTATTTGTGTTTTGGAAAAAAACCTTAGTTCATTGTAGAGGGCGGACAGCAGGAAGTGATGAGGACCTTTAAGACCACGGTAGTGGAATTTGAGAGGCAAGAGCAGATTTGAGAACTATTAAGAAGACAGACTCATCAGCCCTGTATACATGATTGTGTAATGGAACAGAGGAATGAGGGACCTATGTAAGATAACGTGGAGTTCTGGGGTGGGTGGCTAGGTGGCTCATGGTACCATTCACCAAGATGAGAAGTGCAGAACAGGCTTGGTTAGAAAGAAAATGAGTTCAGTTTTGCACTTACTTAATCCTGGCAGACAAGCAGGCATAAAATGGGTTGAGCTGGAAGACAGGTCTTGGCTATAGCTTAGGGAGATTTTATCATATTGCTTATAGCTCAAGCAATGGGTATGGATGAGGTAACACAGGCACGATGTAAAAATGAGAAAATAAAAATAAAATAATAAAAGTGTGATTGCGGCCCACCAACACTTGGAGAGTGGAAGTAGAGGAGATTGAGAAGGAGTGGCCACAGATGGAGGTATTGAAAGGGAAACAATAGTCTTGTAGAAATCCAAAGAAGAGTTTCAGGAAAGTCAGAAAGGTTAAGACTGCCCAGTGCTTTAGAGTGAGTGGCCTTAATTCCATAACAGTGCAACAGCCATTTCAGAAAATAGGTAGAGGAGGTTTAGGAGTGTTGGAGGGAGAGAAAGTTGAGACTCTTCCCAGGAGCCTAGGACTGAAGAGTAAGTAAGGGAAGGTATTACCTCACAGTGGACATTGGGTGTATTGAAGGGGGAATTTGGGTATGTGTGTGGGAGCATGAGAGAGAGACAGAGACATTTTCAGATGGAGAGACTTGAGTGCATCTGCTAAGGAGAAGACATCAGTGGAGGAGGAAGCATCAGAAACATATTTGAGAGGAGATGATCGGTGGAGCTAAGTCTCAGAGGACACAATGGGTTAGAAGTGTTTAGCCTTGGAAGGAGGGCAGCACCTCTTCTTTTGACATTGGAGGGGAAGAGGCAAAGATAGTGTAAGGACAGTCATTTTCTAGGTAAAAGGGTGTGACATTGAGGGAGTGCATGTCTAATAGCCTCAAATTTCTCTGTGGAGGAGCAGGTCCATTGTCGGGAGGACAGAGGCAGGGGAGGTCGGGGGGCTGGGAAGGATGGTGAGGGTGTGGGGTGGAGCTGCCATCTGGGGCTGAGCCTCCTGGGATTGGGACTGTGGCTCTGTGGCAACCTCATCTGTATGGCAGTGTGATTTTTTTTTTTTATTCTCCAGCAGCACCATAATCTGGCTATGAGTGCAGGGAGAGTAGACAATTTGATTAATTTGGAGTGCCGTATTGAGTTTTAGAGAAGGTGAGGTAGGAAGACAATAGATGAGGTTTCTGAGAGCCGGGTTGATATACTCCACCATGGGGCCAGGCTTTGTAGGGAAGTAACGAAAACCGGGAGGAGCTGATGGGTCCAGAAAAAAAGACAAGAATTGAGGAGCTGGGGACCTCAATGGAGTAGAAAAGCTGGTGTTGAGTTAATGGAGTGAGAAAGCCCAAAGGGTGGAATGTTGGGATCAGAAAGCAGGAATCCTGGAAGTGAAGATGTTAGCCGCAGAGGGGCTTGGGGTGCTGAGAAGATTAAAGGTGTAGCCCTGGGAGCATCGCTGGAGTGCAGGTGGAGGGTGCTGGAGCCGGGGACATCAAGGCTGTGTAAAGTTAGGGCATTGATGGGTCATGCTCCTGAGCAAGGAGATTTTCCACAGTGATGCAGGACAGAATGAAGAGGAGGACTAACATCAAAACCCTTAGACTGAAAGAACGATTGAGAAGCGGACAGTGATGAGAAGGATTAAACAGTGGGAGATCAGGCAGTGGTGCTTCCAGAAAGGTGGACTATTGCCATAGTGTGGAAGAATGACAGGGTCCACGTGGCAACACAGAGCTAGGAGAACACCCGTCTCTCCTCCTGGCTCTGTGTTATGTTGGGCATGAGATGACGAACAGGACTCCCAGAGCAGGAGGATGCAGGGAGTTAACTTCCAGAACACACTGTGGAAGAGAGAGGGAGTAGGAGGTTGGGAGTAGGATAGGCCAGAGTGAAATTGGAAATCTTATTATTTTCACCTCCAAAAAAAAAAAAAAAGGCTGTGAGACAGGGAGGACTATTATTTTATTTTTTGGAACTATTATTTTGAGCCCTATTTTAGAAATGAGAAAAATTGCCAAAGAACTGAAAGTCTCTGCTCTTGAATTAGTAATAGATCCAAGATTCACACCTGGGCCCCTTGGTGTGAGGGCACCCCAGGGTTAACCCTAGGGAGAAGCAGCTCTAGCAGGGGTGGCTCCCTTGCAGATAAAGCAGGAAGGAGGAGACTGGGGACCTAGATCAGCTTCTCTCTCTGCCCCCAGGCAACTCGCACAGCCCGCAAAGCCGTCGCCTTTGGCAAGCGCTCACACTCCATGAAGCGGAACCCCAATGCACCTGTCACCAAGGCGGGCTGGCTCTTCAAACAGGTGAGGCCACCCTGCGGTTCTGGCCACCGTAGCCTCCACCTTCTCCTCACAGAATAAGGATTCCTCTGTGCTTATGACAGGCTGTGTATTTTTTTGGTATGTCCCCCTGCTGTCTCTGTGAATGAGTCTCCTAATTTTATAAAGGCTCAGAGAAACTGAGTATCTTCCCAAAATCACACAGAAAAATTTGTGTCAAACTTGGGAACCCAGCCCGGTTTCCTGATGGACAGATGCAATGACCTTGAAACATGCTGAATCCCCAACCCCATGGGAACAACCCACTAGCTCCCCAGCAGGTCCTGCTTATTATGGTGGGGGGTAGGGGTGTCTCCTGCTAGTCTAGGGTCCACCGATTGGCACCAGATTGGCCTTGCCACTATCCCTGCCTGCCCTTCCACTCACTCATTCTGCCCATCTCTTGCCCCTGTTATCCTCCCCAGGGGAGGCACTGAATGACAGAACTGGAAGGTCACAGGCAACAATCTAATGTCAGTTCCTTGCATCTGAGGTCTCCAGGGGTTGCTGCCGTGCATTAACAGCAGAGCCGCAGCTAGGGCCAGGATGTCCTTATAATTGGCACTGTGCCCTTTTCCCTGCATCCCATCTCCTCGTCCACGTCCAGCTTGCAGCCCTCACATCTGCCTCTCCCATGTCCCGCAGGCCAGCTCCGGGGTTAAGCAGTGGAACAAGCGCTGGTTCGTCCTGGTGGATCGCTGCCTCTTCTACTATAAAGGTGAGCTTGGCCCTTGGACTGGCAGGGATGGCAGGAAGCCAGGACCCACTACTCTTTCTCATTCTGCCATATCCCCGAGCTTGGCTTTGGATGGGCACCAGCAGGGCAGATCTCCTCACTGTGGTCCTGGCACCAGTGGCAGCAGGATAAAAACAAAGCTCACTTGTTCACTCACACACTCACTTACTCACCCATTCAGTTCACATTCAACAATGCTTGCTAGGTTTCAGGCAGAGTTCCAGCGATACACTGGGTGAACAAGGTGGTCATATGGCTGGTGAAGTCCTGGAGGAATGGGGAGAGAGGATGAGCACAAAGAGGAGGAGGTCACTAGTCACTACTAGTAGGTCACCTACTAATTGGAGCTTGTGTGTGGCCTTTCTTCCTATCCCACTGGAATGCACAGTCCCATCTGTGAAGGCAGGAACTTTTGTCAGTGTTGGTCACTGCTGTATCCACAGCACCTAAAACACTACCTGCCATTTAGTCGGTGCTCAGTCAATACTGAATGAGTGAACATGTCCTCTGGCTTCACCTTCTCTGCTGACCCCAACACCCTCTCCCTACTCTCTATTTTTAAAAGTTGTGCCAAGGCAGGCTGAGGGCACCAGCAAGGGTTGAGGTCAGTGATGGTGGCGCCATGTGGATGCAGGGGAGGAAATAGGCGTGAGGGATGAGAGGAGAGAGGGTACAATTGTTATGAAGCAGGAGAGGCTCTTTCCTTCACTCCCTTGGCCCAGGAAGGCACAGCCCTGATTTCCAGTCCTCGTGGGAGCAATTCAGTGAATCATTAACTTTGGCAAACAAAGGTTGTACCCAGTGACCCTGCAGAGCACTGCTGTTGCTGGTTGCTGTATTGCAGCCACCTGAACCCCAAGGAGGGAAATCAGGAAGGGGCTGAGCATACAGAGTCCAGTCCCAGAGAAAAGCCCAAGACTCAGGGAGAGGAATCTGCCCAGGCCCAGGACCGAGGTGCTGAACCTCCAGGATACGGGGCCACAGTGGAGCCAGAGTGGGAATGAAACTGGAGGAAAATTGGGGGTCTCTGCACAGGAGAGTCTTTGGGAAGCAGTGGGGGTAGAACCTCAAGGAGCTGAGAACCCAAAGGCTCAGGACACACCAAAATGGGGGCCACTGTTCACAAAGAGATGGACCCAGGACTCCCCTAAATGCTGGCCTGGACTCTGTCATGCAGGGGCTCCATCTCTGGAGGACAAGAGCCTCAGCTCTCCTGAAGGCAGCCCTGGGGTCCAACCCCAAGTGCCTCCTACTACTCTGGTTTACCCCTTCCTCCAGGTACCATGCTGGGGTCCAAACAGAGAAGCTGATCTGTGGGCCAAGTATCGTGTAGATGTGATGAGTAGGAGGAGAAGCAGGGCTTAAGGAGTTTATAACCCTACAGAGGTTTCTTCTGAACCCTAGCCAAAGGCTTTTCAGAGTCCCCAGCCTGGGGAACAAATAGTGATCCCAGGGAATTGGAGAGGGCCTTGCCATAGTCTCATAATTGTCCCCCCCACTGTCCCACAGAGCACTCCCCGCCCTTTCTTGCTTCCTGCTTCCAGCTGGGGCCCAACTGGCCAATCCATCAGGCTCCTTTGGAGATCCGGGATGAATTATGTAATAGCTGGACTGTTAGCCCAATCCCAGGGAGGAGAGGGCCAGAGCACTCCATGCAGGGAGCACTCCTTTTCCTGTGGAGACATAGAACCTCAGCAGGGATCTGCAGCAGAAAAGGGCAAAGCAGGCTCTGAGTGCCAGGGAGAACCTTAGAAAGAGTTACCCAGAGGCACCAGAGAGCAGAAGGTGGGATAGTCCACTCTACAATGATCTATCCCATCACCTTGTTACATATGTCACTGCTGGGATGGTCTCATTTAGCGAGGCAGGATAGATAGGATAGTGGTCAACAATGCTAGCTTTGGAGTTCAGTTTTTGTGTTTGAAGACCAATTTTACCACTTGTTGCCTAAGTAACCTTGGATAAATCATCTAACCTCTTTGTGTCTCAGCTTCCTTACCTATAAAATGAGGGTAATAATAGTACCTCCTCATAGGTTTGTTGGGAGGATTAAATCCATGAAGGCATTTCACTTAGAACAGTGCCTGAACGCTTCCAAAATATCAGCTGTTATTTCTTTGTTTATTTGTGCACTAGAATGCAAATTCCTTTAGGGTAGGCACTACTTCTCTCTTACTCACCTCTGTAGTCCCAGTGTCTGGAACAGCATCTCCAGGGCCACCACACTCCCTAACTCCAGGGAGTGTCCTCTCGGAGCATGTGTGGTGGCCCTGAGTGCCTGACAAACAGGAGGTGAACAACAAATATGTATTGATATTTATCAGGGAGGGACAACACACTCCTCCCCACCCCTGGCGCACGCACACGCTTGCACACACACACACACACCCTTCTTGTGCCTCTCTCCCTGACAGATGAGAAGGAAGAGAGTATCCTGGGCAGCATCCCCCTCCTGAGCTTCCGGGTAGCCGCAGTGCAGCCCTCAGACAACATCAGCCGGAAACACACGTTTAAGGTCAGTTGGCCTTCCCTTCCCAGGGCAGGTGGGGAAGGAAGGCCTGCTCTTCTAGAGCCTATGGGAATGGAGAAGGGCCAAGAGCCATCGCTCTAAGGAATCCCAGGTGGTGGTGGCCATAGCAGTGGTGGTGGGTTGGGGGAGGAGGAGTAGTAATGGCCCCTAGACTCAGCACAGTCTCTTGTAAGGCTAGAGCAAGGCTATGCTGGGACCTTCCTCCTCTCTTGGGGGTTGGGTGGGCAATTCTCCTAAGAGTGGGCCAGTAGAGATGTGTTTCAGCAGCACCACAATTGTTACTGGGGCAGGAATAGTTATGTTCTTAGTCCTTGGACTTTTTGCCCAGTTCCTGCCCCTGGGAAATCCCTCTGGGCAGAGGCAGGAGCTGTGGCTGGTGGGTTCTGAGACCTTTTCTGGAAAGGCTTCCTCCCCACCGTGGTTTCAGGAAACTGGACCTACCCCCAAGTCAAAGTTACTCAAATTTCAATCTTTAACGAATATTAGAAGTTGAGTTTCATTCCACAAGAGCTGCAAATCTTACGAAGAAACCATTTGAGAGAACAAGTGCACAGGAACATGGGCCTTTCCTGCCTGCTCAATATCACTGCCTTGAACCCCTGGGGAGCCACCCGTTAAAGATGTGCCTGCAGCTGGCTCATCCTAGGCCAGTGTTTTTCCACGTTTAAAAAGTCACGACCCATCAGAAACTATAAAAATCTCATGCCCTTTCGTATTTTATGATGTAAAAATCATAGGTCCCTTTTCATTTTCCAAATATAAAATTATAATACCAACCACACATTTTCTTGGTACAAAGCCCTCTCTCCCCTAATTGACAATTGCTGTCCAAGACCCTTCAAAGCTATGATATTAGATGACTGGATCTGTAGGTCACTCCTTGAGCTTCTAGAGCCTTAGAAGAAGGGACTCTGTCCCTTCCTGTCCTTCAGGCTCCAGTCACCTGGCCACAGAAGAGAGCTGGGCAGCATGCACAGGGCCCGCTACAGGGAGCAAGGAAGGACTTATTTGGCACATAATTAGTTTCCAGCCTCCCGGGGTCTTGTATGCCAGAGGTGTGAAGAGAATGAACAATTAATAAAGCTCTGACTCCAGGGAGCCAGTTCTAGCTGGGGAAATAGGAACAGGCTGTTTAACCAACAACAAGTAGTCCTGTTATACACAGACACACACACACACACCCACACACACAATCAAACAGCCTGTCTCACCCTCCCCACCAGACCTGTGCAGAGACACAGACACGTTCCAGCTCGGAGCTCTGCCAGCAGCAGGCGTGAGATAAACATCCCCGAGTGACTGACACACTCCCTCCACCACAGATCCCAGATATCACCTCTCTGCCCACCAGCCCCTCGCCTCCTTCCCCCACACTGCGCTGCCTCTTTTAAACCTGACTCTGAGGGCTGTGCTCGGTGGCCCACAAAGGGTTCTGATTGTGGCTATTCCATGGCCCTTCCCCAGGGAAGGGAGGGGAGCTGAGACAGATGGGAGGCTTGTCCTGTTGTGGCCACCGAGCGAAACTCTTGGATGGCTAAGAATGAGCCAGGAACTGTTCCTGCCCAGGCTACCGCTGAATGCCTTAACCTCTCCCTAACTCTGGCCCCACAGAGGCTCCGGGGGCTTTGCCCCGCTGGGACAGCTCCCTCAATTCTCTGGCCCCCTTTCATAGTTCCAGGCCAGCGCCCCTACCCACTCCCCATCAATGGCCCTGTCTTTTCCCAGGCCCTCTGCCTTCTCCTGTCACAGCACTTGTCCCTGTGCCTCTGCTCTCTCCTTGTTTCCCGCGGCATGTTTTGTCCCCCAGCGTGACTGTCAGCTCTTCAAGTGCAAGAGCCTGTCTTTGCCTTCCTTGTGACTGGTGCCCCCAGCGAGTTCTGCACACACAGGCTGCTCCCTGGATGCTCATTGAATTGATGAATTCATTTGCTGCCCGCTCCCACCCACCCCAGGACACACCCACGAGCCCTGCCTGTGTGTCTCCGCTCTACAATAACCCTGTGTTCTCCACCTAGAAGGCTTGCTTGGGCCCCTGGTCTCTCTATCCCCTATCCGTCGCAAGTCTCAGCTTCTTAGTCTTCACTGGCTTTTTGTCAACACCTCCCCTGCCCTCTCCCACACCTACATGCTAAGCCCTCTGCTGGAGGGTGGGGACCAGAGGAAGGAGGCCCACCCCTGCCTCTTGCTGGGTAATGGCTCCTGTCAGAAAGAAAATGAGGGCTGGGGACAGGTGGAGGCGAGGTGGGACCAGCTGCAGCTGAGGAATCTTTTGAGCATTTAGAGGGTGTGGGCTTGACGTTGCTGTTCAGGGGAGCCCTGAAGCTATCTCAACCCCCAGAGACCCAGGATTTAGGGCTCAAGGGGTCAGAGGCTGGAGTGAGGCTCACATCCGAGACTCTGAATCACTGCTAGATGTCCCCTGTTGAGTGGGCTAAGCTAGGCTACTGAGGATCTCACTGGGAAGTGTGCTGAGGTCCCAGAAAGCATTTAGTCCTGTGGCCTCTTTTCCTTGTGGCCTAAGAACTTTGAATTTCACCAGGCAGACTCTTTTCCCGTGAAATAGATGCATCAGTGAAGACCAGAGCAAAACCACAACTTGTCTGCAGTTGCAGAGCTGGTCAGGAGCAGAGCCAGGCTTAGCACTGCGATTCCCTGACTCACTCTCCACCACCAGCCTGAATTTCCCTGGTGCAAGCTCTCCACTCCCCACCCCTTGGTAGGCAGAACTGGGCATTGTTGGGTGCTGCCATTCCCGGGGGAATGCTGAGTAGAAGAGGACAATCTGAATATTCCCCCTTCCCTGTGCTCCTCACCGTTTCCTGCCACGTCGTCTTCTGTCTCTCCCTTTGGTGTTTGGTTGACCTGTTCTCTGCTTCTCCTCCTTCTGACCGCGTGAGGACCCCTCCTCTGGACAGGAGCTCTCTTCTGGGTTCCCGCCCGCAGTACCTGCTCGCAGCCACCAACTAGGTAGTGTGCCCCATCTGTATGCCAGTGCCTGCTTTGCATGCCTGCAGAGAGGGGCTTGGCTGTCTCTCCACGTGGAAGAGACAGTGCTAGCTTCTCAGCAGTGAAGCTGGGGCTAAGATTGGCATGTGCTCAGGGGGTCCTCTCTCCCAGACATGGGGTCATTGCCTTTGAAATCAAACATGGAATTTGCCGGGAGAATGGGTGTGATCATTGTCCCTCCTGCTTTAATTACCCCAGGTGGGGCAAGTAGGCTGACCTGGTTATTGGGCTGCCTAATGGTGCCCAGAGAGCCAGCCAAGGTGGATACGTGGGTACCAGCTGGAACCCTCGGGGTAGCTGCAAGCTGCCCTCTTCACCTTGCTCCTGAGCTCCGCATGGGGAAGAGCCCCAGGTGCAGGGAATGGCCCAACTGACTGCCCATTCTGTGGGCGTTGGTGTCTTCTCCCAACAGGTGACTGTGTGCTGGGTGGATGAGGCCGAGGCCAGCTCCACACGCTGCCTCTCCCCACAGGCTGAGCATGCCGGGGTCCGCACCTACTTCTTCAGTGCCGAGAGCCCCGAGGAGCAAGAGGCCTGGATCCAGGCCATGGGGGAGGCTGCTCGAGTACAGATCCCTCCAGCCCAGAAGTCAGTGCCCCAAGCTGTGCGGCACAGGTGAGTGCCAGGGAATTGAGTGTGGGGGTGCAGGAAGAATAAAGAGGGGAATGGAAGACACACCCAGCTCTGGGCCATTGCTAATCCCAGTGTGCCTACTTGAAGCCCTGGAGAATGTGTGAGCCGTCTCCTTGCATCCAGGCGGGAGGCCTGGCTGAGTGATTTCAGAGCCTGAAGTCTCTCTTCCCCTAGCCAGCTCCTCCTCTTCTCTCTGAGCTCGGGAAGGCCAAGAGAAAAGCCAGGTTCCATTGGGGTCTGGCCAGGAGCCAGAGGTCAGGGTCATTTGCTGGTTTTTCTCGGCTGTGTGTGTTAAGCACACCGCCTTTGGAGGAAAATAAACTCAGGTTTGAATCACACCTTGTCCACTTGGCTGTAGCGTGATCTCAGTGCAAGGGACTCACCCTCTCTGAACCCGAGGTTCCTCTGCTCAAAAACCAGCAAATACAACTCTACCTCATAGGGTTGTTGTGAGGCCTACACAGAGTGCGTGTAAAACACTCAACATGCAGTAAACTCTTAACATATGGCCGCTCCCATCGCCCGCCGTCACCCACGGTCTCAGCGTCTGTCTCTCCCTTAACTGGATGTGGAGTCTTGAGTTAGGTGCTAAGGGGGATCCAGGAAAAGGGGGTTTCACAGTGTAGGCTCCAAGTCCACATATCTTAGAAATGTTTACCAAGCAATGTTTCAACAATCCCACTTGAATATGTGGAGTTTGGGAAGCTGTAGGGGGAAAATTGTCACAAATTTCCATCTTCGCTTCAACCAAGGGGCATAATTCCAAGAGTTCATTCATTCATTTCACAAATACTTACTGTAAATATAAATGTGCAAGGCACTGTAGTGGGTGCTAGGAACACAGGGGAAGAAAGTCTGCCATGTTCCTACCCTTGTGGGGCCTGTATTCTCATGGAAAGTCAGTCCTGGAAGAAATGTGTTTTGGAGAAGGGAACTAGCGTGTTTATGTGCTTGTGAGTTTGAAAGCAGAAACTTCTGCTCCTGGTGCCCGCCATGTTTTATCTCACAGCAGTCCTAGGAGGGGAGCTATTATTATGCCCATTCTGCTGATGAGGAGCCCAAGACTCTTGGCAGTTAAATAACTTTCTATAAGAAAGACAGCTGCCCCGTGACAAGCCTTTGTCACTGGAGTATCAAGGACAGTTACTGATGTGAGTGCAAACCCAGTTTGGGGAGCTGGGTCAGGGATAGATCGCAGAGAGGACCAAGACTAGGTGAGGTTAGTCATGCCATAGCTTGAAGGCTGGGCTCAAAGCAGACTGACAGAGGGGAGTGGGGTGGAGAATGACCTGCAGAGAAGACGTGGGGGGCAGAGTTAACACAGCAGGTGTGGGCAGGGGCGGATTAGGTTGTATAATAATTTCCCAGGCTGGAGCGAGAAGGTGAAGGGGTGGGACTTAGGAAGCAGAACTGGAGTTCATAGAATCCTGGTTCCAGCCACCTCCCTGCCCATCCTTCCCCACTCCTCTTCTTCCCAGTCTGGCACCCCCTGCCCCACTCCATGCTGGGCTAGAGTCACTGACAGCATCTCCCTTGGCATCCTGCAGCCATGAGAAGCCAGACTCGGAGAACGTCCCACCCAGCAAGCACCACCAGCAGCCACCCCACAACAGCCTCCCTAAGCCTGAGCCAGAGGCCAAGACTCGAGGGGAGGGTGATGGCCGAGGCTGTGAGAAGGCAGAGAGAAGGCCTGAGAGGCCAGAAGTCAAGAAAGAGCCTCCGGTGAAAGCCAATGGCCTCCCAGCTGGACCGGAGCCAGCCTCAGAGCCGGGCAGCCCTTACCCCGAGGGCCCAAGAGTGCCAGGGGGTGGGGAACAGCCTGCCCAGCCCAATGGCTGGCAGTACCACTCCCCAAGCCGGCCAGGGAGCACAGCTTTCCCGTCTCAGGATGGAGAGACTGGGGGACACCGGCGGAGTTTCCCACCACGCACCAACCCTGACAAAATTGCCCAGCGCAAGAGCTCCATGAACCAGCTTCAGCAGTGGGTGAATCTGCGCCGGGGGGTACCCCCGCCTGAAGACCTTCGGAGGTGAGGCATGCCGGCGGCTGGGGTGGGGCTGATATGGTATTATGGCTAGAGCGTGCGAGTGGGGTCATAGCCCACGAGGCATCCCCTGTTGGAAACCTTCTGGAAGCAGGCTGAGTTGGGAAACCAAGCAAATCCCATGCTTCCTGGCTTGCCCAAATCCTGCCTGCCCCATGGCTCCACCATTAGAGTCTGGCTGCTGTCCCTGATTCTTGGTTTCTTTGTCTGCTTCCTTCAGAAGAAGGGACAGAGTGCCCCAGTGCCTCTCCACGGCGTGCTGGGGAGCCCAGAACACAGCAGGCTTTGGGAGGGGGCCTGAAGTTGTTATAGTCATACATCCATCCAAGCTATGGGCCCTCCTACAACATCCTCTCCCCAGTGCTCCACCCACTTGAGACTCACTAACTGCCAGACCAACTCATTCCATTTTTGAACAACTCTAATTGTTTTAAAGCCATGATTTATATGAAGTTAAAAAACAAAACAAAGTAGCTCATTGGTCCCAACATGGCCATCTATGACCATTTACGCCTTTATCCAATGACTGACTTTGAAATATCTGGGGACATTTATTGGGCCCAATGGTGTCCCTCAGGGCAAATGGGCTGCAGGCTCCTTCCCTGGGGATTTGGGCAGCTCCAGGGACTGCAGGCCACAGCTTCAGGAAGGCCATGGGGCCCGGGAGGAACCTGCCCTCTAGTGGCCTGAGCGGCTGCGCATTGCTGGTGGTCTGGTGCCTGGGAGCATCAGGCCTGCTCTGGGGAGAACCACTTGGGATGAGTCCCAAGAATCTACTGGTTCTGTCCCTGACAAGATCATACAGTCAGGAAGCTGGGCATGGTGGCTCACACCTGTGGTCCCAGCTACTACTCTACAGGTGGATGTGGGAGGATTGCTTGAGCCCAGGAGTTCAAGGCTGCAGTGAGCCTTGATGGCCCCACTGTATTCCAGGCTGGTGACAGAATGGACCTCATCTCTAAAATAATATAAAATAGATCAGGAAGCCGCCCTTTCTTTCATCCCTCCTACATTGCCCTCCTTCAGGTGCCTGGTAGACTTTCTTCTATTTGCCTCTCTCAGAAAAGATCTGATAAACTGGTTCATGCTGAGATGGAGATGGCTGATAAGGCTTCACGTTTCTTCCTAGGGATATGTCATTTTAAAGAGGCAAAGATTGAAGCTCTGAATGGTGCAGTGTCCAGCCTTGGGGAGTTGTTTGAGGAGGGGGGCTGTGAGGACAGGAGTCTTTCCCTCATCTCTGGAATAAACCTCAGCCCCTGTGTACCTATTCAAGCACCCTGCTCTAGGCTGGGGGACCTGGAGGTGGGGCTGGGGTGGGTGGAGGGGTGCCCGTGTTGTCTGCCTTCATTACAATGTCCCCTCTCTCTCAGTCCCTCTAGGTTCTATCCTGTGTCTCGCAGGGTCCCTGAGTACTATGGCCCCTACTCCTCCCAGTACCCCGATGATTATCAGTACTACCCGCCAGGAGTGCGGCCGGAGAGCATCTGTTCCATGCCGGCCTATGATCGGATCAGCCCGCCCTGGGCCCTGGAGGACAAGCGCCATGCCTTCCGCAATGGGGGTGGCCCTGCCTACCAGCTGCGAGAGTGGAAGGAGCCCGCCAGCTACGGGCGGCAGGATGCCACCGTCTGGATCCCAAGCCCCTCCCGGCAGCCAGTCTATTATGATGAGCTGGATGCCGCCTCTAGCTCCCTGCGCCGCCTGTCCCTGCAGCCCCGCTCCCACTCTGTGCCCCGCTCACCCAGCCAGGGCTCCTACAGCCGTGCCCGCATTTACTCCCCTGTCCGCTCACCCAGTGCCCGTTTTGAGCGGCTGCCACCTCGCAGTGAGGACATCTATGCTGACCCTGCTGCCTATGTGATGAGGCGATCCATCAGCTCCCCCAAGGTGAGCCACCAGCCTGCCCTTCCTTCCTCATCCCCTGAGGTCCCCAGAAGCCTAAGACCATCTACTGAGAAAAGGCAGAGATGTGGGAGCATCTGTGCCACGGGGCCACTGGGCCGTTTGTCTGCAGGACCAGCAGTGCTGCCCAGCGGAGCCCCTGGCCTGTGGTTCTGTCTGTAGGAGAGCTGTCTTGGGGATGGCTTTGCCTCTTGAGTGGGGACATTGCTTTCTGTACATGCCCCCAAGTTGTGCCAGATACCATGCCGTCATATAAGAGGGCAGAGAGGGTTCTGTCTTTTCAAATCTTGAGGACCTGGACAGATCATTGCAAGGGGGGCTGCTGTCCATTTCAGTTTGGGATCTGCTCTGGGAACTGAACACAAATACCTCTAACCTTGAGCTTCAGCTGTTGGGGAACTCCGTGTCCCAGCCAGACCCCTCACCTCTGCGATCCCTTTCTCTTCCAGTATGATTACCTGGGAGACAGGCGGCCAGTCCCTGCAGGACTGTTCCCCTACAACTACCCACCATCCCCCACGGTCCACGATAAGATGGTACGTCCTTTCTCCCCTCCACCTGTCTCAGGGCCTCCCCGCACCGTGCTCCACTCAGGGTGGAGCTAAACTGGGGCGGACTCCAGGGACGCTCTGTGCCTAGTGCCTGGCCTGGCTGGTTTTTAGCAGCCTCTGGATACCTCCTCCCTCCCAGCCAGGACTCTAGCCCCAGTATCAAGTTTGGTGCCAATAACCCCTTCTCCTCTGTGACACAGCCCGTGGAGGAGGGATGAGATCTGGGAGCATGTAATATCCTGGTCCCTCTCCTCTCCAGCATGCAGGAGAAGGGGCCTAGGCAGGAAAAATCAGGCCAGAGCTCCTAACAAGAAGCAAGATCTTCTAAACTTTTTTCCCCTGAAGCATAGTTATTTCATGTTTGTCCTTTGCCTGGAATGCCACTTTTGGGGAGAGATACAAGCGATATGATTGAGGAAGAAAAAATTTTCCGAATTGCATCTCCTCCTTTTTCTCTGCCTCTTTCTACTCGTGTCTCTCCCTGGAATTTGTTCTCCTGAGAACTTTTGCCACCACCTAGAGACCTAGATAAGATGCTCCACTTGGGAGGGTTGGGGAGGACCACTGGGACCAACAGGCAGAATCCTTTTCCAGAAAGCCTGTTGCTGACTCATTTCCATAACAGTACCAGGAGGCCAGAGTGGAGGAGGGCTGGGCAGGCTGGAGGCTAGGCGGCTGCTCCTTCCCCTCTCTGTCTGATTCTCACTCTGCCAGTGTCCACAGCATATAAGCTTTGCCCACAGCAAACACACGCACCCAGAAACAACCGATTTTTCCAGAAAACTCAGAAACAGCTGCTAACAAGTGCTGCCTAAATTGCTCTGATGACACTCACCTCTCCCAGGGAGGCCTAGGCAGACCTAGGAGAGATGGCACTGGGGTCTGCGTGTGCCCCTCCTCTCCTGGAGTGTCCAGTAGAGAACTACTTTGCCTGCCCACATCCTCAACCCCTCCCTTCCTGAGAACTCCTCAAGGGCAGAGGGAGAAGCCTCTCCTTGTCCTTGTCGCTAACTCTTAACTGCTTTGCTTCTTTTTTTATTGTTTTCTTTTGTGTGTTCCTGTTTGTTTGTGTTGCTGTTTGGCCTCTGGGCCTCGGGCTCCGGGTAGGATGAACTTTTAGATCTTCAGTTGCAAAGAAACCTAGAGTATTTGGATCAGCAGGTAGGCAGAGCTGGTGCCCCCCTTATCATCCCACTGCCTTCCTGTCGCATCTCTCCACTCCTCCCCACCTCCTCATCTTCCAGCCATTTGACAACCTTTGTTGGTGCAAGCAGGACACAACAAAGTGGCTTATGTTTTGGTTTGCGCCTACACACCCCTTCTCTTCAAAGCCCTTTAGGACAGCTGGGAGTTTCCTGGGGAAAGAAGCATAATAAGTAGGCACATGAATAATTAATGCCACCTCTTATTTCTCCAGTGCTCAGCTCAGATGGAACTGCCCCCAGGGGGCAGGTGGGAATTTGCATTTTTTCTGGCGAGAGGAGGGAGTCGCAGAGTCGAGGGAGCTCTAGGCTGGGCCTAAAATGCTAGGGATTTAGTTCAGCCTGAATCTGGGAAATCATCTTATCATATTTTACAGGTTGTTGTTAAACTCCATAATTGGTAAACTGAGGCCTGCAGACCCTCCCTAGGATGATTTTTAAAGTAATATTCACTCAGTGTATTCATTAGTTCCTCCAAAAGCCCTTTTGCATAAACAGCTCGTGCATTCCTGAGAATTCAGTGCAAACAGAGGGAGTATTATCAACCCAGTTTTACAGGTGAGCAAGCTGAAGAGGCAGTGAATGTTCCATGAGCTGCAAGCAGTGGCTGCCTGGTCTCTGCTCCGGGGTTCTAACCCTTTCTTGTCTTTTAAGCTAAGGGAGCTGTGAGACTGAGTTTAGACAGGCTGGGGGTCAATATGCTGGGTATTTATATAAGCACATACTCTTAAGTTTAGATCTGTGCTACAAACCACGACCTAGAAGTACACAACACTGTCCTGTGGAGGCAGCCTGGAGGGGTGGAAATAATAATAATAATAACAACAGCTACAATAATTGGATGCCTCCTCCATGCCCCATACTATTCTAAGCATTTTTCAGATCTTAACTCATTTAATCTTCACTATAACCCTGTAAGATGGATGCTATTATTACCCCCATTTTACAGCTGAGGAAACTAAAGCACAGAGAGGTTGAATAACATGCCAAGAACACACAGCCAGTGAACAGCCGAGCTTGGACAGTGACTCCAAGCTTCTGACCCAGTTTACAGCTGAGGAAACATCTAATGTGTGACAAAGCTGCTGTCAAACCTCATTAGGATGAGTTCATGCTCTTAAAGTTACAGAAAAAAAAAATTTTAAATGAGATGCTATAGCTGCAACTGTTGGTTCTTCTAGTCACAAGCCATGTGACCCATCTCACCAGGGCTTCATGTCGGTGTCGCAATTCGATTTTGTAATAGGCCTCAGGCACTAGGAAGCACCAATGTCCACAGTTCAATAAACAGGGATGGCTCCTGGCCCTGGAGGCCGTGGCATTCCAGCTCCAGAAGCAGCTCATTGTGTCCACACCATGAGCATTCTGGGCCATGTGGGAACAGATCCCAGGATTCCAACTCTGAGCAGGGCCGGGAGGTCCAGGATCCTGCTGATGGGAAACAAGATCCAAAGTGCCTTGCAGGGGTGAGGAGCAGGGCTCATGGCCCACCCACCTCCGGATTCCTGAGCAAGCTATCCTCCCTGTCACCCATGTGATTGGCTTTCTACTCCATCCACAATGCCCAGCTGTCCAAGCATTCAGTGCAGACAGCAGGGTCCCTTCCTGCGGGCTTTTGCCCTCACAGAGGGGCTGGTCCATTAGGCTAGGGGCTTCAGAACTAGCCTTCCAGAAGACTCCCTCATGGATAAAGGGTATTATTCCTTTTTGTTTGTTTGTTTGTTTTTGTTTTTGTTTTTTTTTTTTTTTTTGAGACAAGATCTCACTCTGTTGCCTAGGCTAGAGTATAGTGGCACAAACCTAGCTCACTGCAACCTCCACCTCCCAGGCTGAAGTGATCCTCCCACCTCAGCCTCCTGAGCAGCTAGGACTACAGACAGGTGTGCAGCCACCACACCTGGCTAATTAAAAAATTTTTTTTTGTAGAGATGGGTGTCCCACTGTACTGGCCAGGCTGGTCTCAAACTCCCAGCCTCAAGTGATCCTCTCACCTCTGCCTCTCAAAGTGCTAGGGTTATAGGCATGAGCCACTGTAGCTGGCCAAGTGTAGTACTCTTTTTTTTGAGAAGGAGTCTCGCCCTTTCACCCAGGCTGGAGTGCAGTGGCGCGATCTCGGCTCACTGTAGGCTTCGCCCCCAGGGTTCACGTAGGTAGTACTCTTAAAAGGCAGTCTTGTATGATGAGAAGAGTCCAGGACATAGTCAGACACTGCTGCTCTAGTTCTAGCTCTGCCATTTACAAGGAAGTTTGTTTTTTTTTTAATCTTGGAAATGTCACTTAGTTTCTCTGGGTCTTTGTTTTCTCAATCATAAAATGGGCATTGTAGAATCTGCCCTTTCCTTTCAACCTCACAGATGTATTGGGAGAATCAAGCAGGGGTGCATATGTGAGCTCTTTGTCAGGCATCGCAAGGAGTGACAGTCACCACTTGCTGCTGTTATTATTTTGTTTTTCCCAAACTCAAAAATATCAATGAGCACTCCTTACCATGTGTGAGGCACTGGGTTAGGTAGTTTCTTACAAAATCTAACATTTTGAAGAGACAGAAGGTAGCACACAAGAATCCTCCTAGAGGTAAGACCCACCTGTGCTGAAAGATCCCCAAAGCCGCAGCACAGGCGGGAGCAGGCCAGGATGAGAACACTCCTGCTCGCTTCCTCTACTGCTCTGGATCTGCGTGTTGGGGAAGGAATGAGATACCTACAGGTTACTGTGCATGGATGGCTCCTGGCCCTCAAGGCCCTTGCATTACAGGGCTAAAGAGGTAGAAAAATCAGTTCCTAGGAAAGCCTTTTGAAATGCTGCAGACCCTGCAAATGGGATGGTGGGTGCCCTTGCCCTGCCTACAACATGTAGAAGCAAGGCTGTATGTGGGCCGCTGCCTAAAAGGGGTAAGAGGAAGAAAGGACAGTGTGGGTGCAACTGAGATTGGAGAGATGACGGAAAAATCACAGGGGACCCTCTGAACAGAAACCCCAGATAATCTTCCCTAATGTGGCTCTTTCCTCCCTTTCTCATTCACTTTCCCTTCCAGAAAGCTTTCCCTGCACAACCCCCTCTGTCTTCTGCTGCCTTCCCCTGTAGAACAATGGAGTTAAAGGGACACAGCCAAAGACATTCCCTGATATCTTCACTTTTTGGTCCTTTCCCATTGGAACCAGTGGGGGAAATGATGGCATTTCTGGTTGATTGGTTGGCCTGCCCTTTCTCCCACCCCTCCTTTCCCTTCCTCTTCCTCCTCATCCCATCCCTTCTTCCATTTCTCTCTTTTTAAATTGGCAAATAGTCTTTCCACCTCCATGTTCCTAAGGATTCTTGAAATAGAAAGAATGTGTTGGAAAGCCTGGTGTCCCTTTAATGTGGCTTGCTTGTTTTGGCCTCCTTGTTTGCTCCCTAGCGTCATCCGAGATCCTCATGGATGCTGCCAGCCCAGCTCTGGAAACCGTGTTTAGCACTTTCTGCACTAGAGCCGAGGGTGGGGAGGGGCAGGGGCAGGGAGAGGGGGCAGGCCTCTGTATCTGTGGCGGCCCATCCAAAGAGCAGGTCCTAGATTTTCTTTTTTGGTTGTTTCACTTAGTTCAACTTTGGGGAGATCAGTCTTCCAACTGCCTCTATGGTCTTTGTCAAAAGTGGTGTGAGAAATGAGATCAGGGCAGGGAGATGACAACCGTGGCCAGTGCGGATGGGACAACAGCCAGGCACCCTGGGGAAGAGTCACCAGGCCCCAGCCTCTGCAGTGCCTCCAGCAAGGTCCCAGTGGCCTCCCGGCCCCTTCTGTGGCCTTTCTGCAAGGACAGCTTCAGTGCTGGTCCTGAAACAGAGGTCACTAGGGGTGAGCAAGGAGTGAGGGCAAGCTCAGGGTGCTGGGGGAGCTGCCCTCCCCTGTTTCCTGGGAAACAAGCACAGGTGGGTGAAGGGGAGATACCTACATGTAGGTCGGAGTGTGAATAGTCCGTTCCTTCCTCTGCTGCAGATGAGTGAGAGCGAGACTCTCATCAGTATGGTGAACCGCATGGTGGAAAACTCCTCCCCCAGGTCCCAACTCTTCATGCAAGTAAGACCTCTGCCTGGCAGCATGGTCCCTGCCAATGCCATTTCAGCTGCTTGTGCATGGTCGAGTTGCCCATCTAGGATGAGGCTCACGCCACCCAACCCGCTCATCTGCCTGGAGACAGGCTTGGCCTGGTCTTCCTTCCTTAATTCCACTATGTCACCTCCATTCTTCACTTTCATGGGTAAACCCAAGGCCCATTTCCCAAACCATCAAAATAGCCAGCACCAACATCTCATGCCATGCTGGGGATCGCAACTCTGCTCTTGAATGTTCTGATTTCGATTTCATATTTGTAACATCTTGACAGACGTCACTGGGGTTAAAGGCATGAGGGGTGTAATGGAACCATCTAATGTCAAAGGTGTATAGAATGTGCTGTGGTCACCAGATGTGGCGTCCAGGCTAGGCAGCATTTACTGGATCCGGAGACGCTTCTGAATTCTTGCCAATTTTTGTTTAGACACAAGCCCAGGTGTTCAGTCTACTAGGGCAATAGTTTTCAACTGTTCCCAATGCTCATTCCGACCATTCCCCTATGTCTTAACCCCACAGACAGCCATGGAGTTCACTGATGTTCTCATGGTGGTTACCAACAAGCCACTGGGAGCTGCACACCCTGCAGTCGCTCTTAGCAGCTGACCCTAGTGCTTGGGGGAGAGGAAATACAGAGCATGACTCAAGCAGAGTTCTGATCTCTCCGGAGTCAGCCTAGGACAACTGGGATGGGGTTAGGCCGGGCCATCCCAGGCTTCCAGCCAGGGGATGTGGAATGAGCTCAGGTCCCTGGAACAGAAGCTACCAGAGGTGACGGACCATGGTCTCTGGCAGGAGCACAGCGGGATTGTGATGTTAGCTTCCTATCCCTGCATACCCTCATCCTGCCCCTGCTGCAGTAACCGGCCTCATGTTCCTGCAGGTCCCTCCATACCCAGAAGTGTTCCGGGACAGCCTCCACACCTACAAGTTAAACGAGCAAGACACAGATGTAAGAGCAGCGCCCCCTGCTCCCTCCCTCCACTCCAGCCTCCTGCTGCTGTCCTCTGCGGGGGGCTGTCTCTCCATCCATCTCTCTTCCTCTGCGGGGGCTGTCTCTCCATCTATCTCTCTCCTTCTGGTGGCTTTTCATACCTTTGATTCATGTCTTCTCTCACCACAACAAGATTCTGCCTACCTCCTCCTCATCCCCCTTCTTTTCTGATCTACCACCCACTCACCCTTCCCTCCCATGCTGGCTGTATCCATTTCTCCACTGAGCGCTGGGCCGTTTTGCCTACGGCAGTGAGATCTGCTTGTAACATGAATGCAGACTTTGTTGGGAGATAGATCAGTCAGTCTATTCTGTGCCCAGCATGGCATTAGTCCCTACAGGTAACTAGAAAGGAGAATACGGCTATGCCCCTGGCTTCAGGGAGCTTCAGGGTAGTGGGAAGTGCCAGGTAGCAGCAGGAGGTGGCAACACGGTATTCATGTAGTGAAGGGGAGCCATAATAGGTTCTGCCAGGTGCAGGGAAGTGAGGCCGTGTGGGCTGAAGGTCAGGGACAAAACAAGCAGCATGTGAGTTAGGCCTTGAAGTTAAAAGGCCCAGAGGGTAAAATCTGGCTCAGTGGAAAGGAGCAAAGCAGGTATTTGAGGAATGGCATGAATAAAGGTGCGGACTAGGAAAGCATGAGCCCTCTTTCTGGCCTCACCTGTCTGCTCCCCATCACCACTGGCCCTGCTTGGGTAGTGGATCTGCCCAGTGAGACTGGGAGAGGATCCTTCCTGACAGGACTAGACCTCAGAGGGAGGATCAGCCATCCTGAGACTTTGAAGGGAGGAGGGAAGAACAGGATCTTGAGAGAGAAGGGAGAAGGTTCTGTGGGATTGAGGGACAGTTTCTATTGCTCACTGCTTTTCTAAGACTGCTTGTTCTGACACCCGGCCCACCTCTTCAGTCCAGCCTAAGAGGTGAGGTCATATCATCTCCTCAGTCCTTTGTGAATTGCAACCCTTGGAAGGATGGGGGTGCCAGAGTTTAACACTTGCCTCTCAGCCCTCTTAACCCAACTCACTTCCTCAGAGAGTAAGCATACCTCACCTCCCAAGATGAAGACCCATCTTCTTGTTCTCAGGAGCCACCAAGGGCAAGGTGAAGGCCCAGGGTTCCTCAGCAGGAGAAAGGAGGGGGGTATCCAGAGGCCAGGCCTATAACTCCCAGGTCCCCATCAAACTATGTCCTTCATCCCCTTCTTTCTCCCTCTCCTTCTCCACTCTCTGGGTCCCTAGAAGCTGCTGGGAAAATTGTGTGAGCAGAACAAGGTGGTGAGGGAGCAGGACCGGCTGGTGCAGCAGCTCCGAGCTGAGAAGGTGAGAAGCTGGGGGTGGCTTTAAGCTGGGGCAGATGGGCGAGGCTGGCTTGGAGAAGGTTGTGGGCTGCTGTCTCCAACCTGACTGAGATGACAAAGCAAGGACAGCTTCCACTCAGCTGCCTGTTGAACCTCTAAGGGCTCAGGCCTCTGCTGTTCAATCCCAGAGAGGAGCTGTCAGGGCTGCTCATGTCATTCCCCTGCCTTTCTTCAGGAGAGCCTGGAAAGTGCCTTGATGGGGACCCACCAGGAGCTGGAGATGTTTGGAAGCCAGCCCGCCTACCCAGAAAAGCTGCGACACAAAAAGGATTCACTGCAGAACCAGCTCATCAACATCCGCGTGGAGCTGTCTCAGGCGACCACGGTAACCCAGGGAGCGGGGTTCGTGCACCCCACCTCATCAGCACTAGGCAGCAGGGCCACCACCTCCCAGCTTGTGCTGTCCTAGTCCAGTTTTCCTCAGAGGACAAGAGCTGAGTACTCCCGTGCAGAGGGGCATAAACAAAGACCTCAATATTGCCCTGCAAATAAATAGCAAGTCAGCCAGTCTGCTCATTCCAGTCTCCACCGAGGAAATGAGCTTATTTCCCACAAACTATACCTGTACCTGGATTTCTTTGGGACAGCATGAAGTTGTGAGTTACTTATTTCCTTGGCTGTGCTAACACCTCTGCTGCCCACTTCTGTCTTCTCCCTCGGAGAAGCAAAGCACTGGCAAAAAGGCTGCTGCCAGCTGGCCTCAGTGGCTCACGCCTATAATCCCAGCACTTTGGGAGGCCAAGGCGGGTGGATCACCTGAGGGTGGGAGTTTGAGACCAGCCTGACCTACATGGAGAAACCCTGTCTCTACTAAAAATACAAAATTAGCCGGTTGTGGTGGCACACACCTGTAGTCCCAGATAGGAGGCTGAGGCAGGAGAATTGCTTGAACCCATGAGGCGGAGGTTGCCGTGAGCCGAGATCGCACCATTGCACTCCAGCCTGGGCAACAAGAGTGAAACTCCATCTCAAAAAAAAAAAAAAAAAAAAGGCTGCTGCCCTGGTCACTACTTCCCAGCAGGTAAGGGCAGACCTTCCGACACAGACTGCTTGGAGAATGGCTCCAAGAAGCAGCAGAAAAAGCCCCGTGAAAGTGTGGCTCGGAAAGGAGGAAGCTCTCTAACCTCTGAATAATAAATATCCTCCTTCAGGCTCTTTTCTCTTTGACCTCCACTTAAATTTTTTTTTTTTTAAGAACAGGGTCTCACTGTGTCACCCAGGCTGGAGTGCAGTAGCACAAACACAGCTCACTGCAATCTTGACCTCCAGGGCTCAAGTGATCTCCTGCCTCAGCCCCCAAGTCGCCAGGACTACAGGGGTGCGCCACCATGCCCAGCTAACTTTTGTAATTTGTAGAGATGGGGTCTTGTCATTTTCCCCAGGCTATGCCCTCTACTTTTTATCCGCTGATCTGGGGAGAATAGGAGGGTATGGAAGTGATATCATCCCTCTCCATTTTCTCTTTATTTCAGTTGGTGGTGGGATGGGCTGTTACATCTCTTGTAAGGCTAGTGTTTGGCTGTCACCAGAATGTCTCAGCCTGGTGCCCCTCTCCTTCGGTCCCTCCATGCCCTCTTCCCCAGATCTTTGTGCCTCTGGTACCCTGGCCCCAGGGTCCATTGCAGGATAAGGAGGAATGCCTTGGTGATGGCGGCTTTCTCAGTGAACGCCTCTTTCCCCCGTAGGCCCTGACAAACAGCACCATAGAGTATGAGCACCTCGAGTCTGAGGTCTCTGCCCTGCACGATGACCTCTGGGAGCAGCTCAATTTGGACACCCAGGTGAAGAAGGGCCCCTGAGCTGGCGGGGATTGGGATGTGACTAAAGATGAGGAGTTGGCCTCGAGACAAAAGCAAAGGTTCCGGCCATTGATAACAGACTCTAAGTTTCAGGATGAAGATAATGGGACGCTTTAGGTTCATCTCACAGGGGAAGGAGTTAAAGCTGAAGCTTGGGAGACTTCAGTTAGACACAGGTGTTTTATGACTGAAAGGATTTTTTTTCCTCTTGGGATGGGGTCTTGCTCTGTTGCCCAGGTTGGAGTGCAGTGGCGCAGTCACAGCTCACTGCAGCCTTGACTGCCCCGGGCTCAAGCAATCCTCCCACCTCAGCCTCCTGAGTAGCTGGGACCACAGTCATGAACCACCATGCTTGGCTAGTTTTTGTATTTTTTGTAGAGTCAGGGTCTCCCTGTGTTGGCCGGGCTGGTCTCTAACTCCTGAGCTCAAGTGATCCTCCTGCCTCAGACTCCCAAACTGCTGGGATTACAGGCATGAGCCACTGTGCCCAGCAGGATTTAAAAACAGACGTGTAAATATAAATAACTCAGGCATTAGAAGAGTAGGCGCTGCGGGAGCAATCTGCTCAGGAATTTTTAGATAGGAGAGAGGCTTTTCTTCCTGGGGTGGGTTAGAAACAGTCTGCCTGGAGGCAGGAGGATTGACATGATGATCTTGGGGAGTTCTTGTTCTTTTCTTCCCTCTGCCTTTTCTTCACCCAGGCCCTGCCTCTTCTCTAGCTAGTTTGCAAGCCCTGTCTCTCTGATGCAGTTAACACCCTGGTTTCCCCCATTTTCTTCTGTTTCCCTCCTGGTAATGCTACTCACCACCCCTACCTTGCAGCTGGTTAGGTAGGGTGAAGACCCACCTGGTCCAGAAGACCCAAATACCACCATGTCCCGTGGCCAAGCCTCACTTGAAACACAGACATTTTAGTAGGGGGGATAGGGTTGTGGTCAAGGGCGCTAACTTCGGGTCCAAATAGACCCATATTGAGATGATGGTCATGCTGCTTACTAAATAGATGGCCTTGGGTGTAAGTCTCTTCATCTCTGAAGAGGGGATAGCTGCTGCCCTTATCTCCTAGAGTCATGCAGCCGAAATGAGTTAGCACTGTATATGCAAATTGCTTAGCATAGTGCCTGGTGCTGAGGGATGCTAAATAAATGGGAGGTCTTACCTTTTAGACTGTCAACTGTAATTGAATTCATGACTCTTCAGGCGTACGCTGGGAGTGGGTATTAGAAAAGGGCTGTTTGGATGTGAAGAAAAGCAGTAAAATGGAAGCTCTTGCCCCACGAAAAACAGGATACCATAAAGTGTTCACTTAGATGGGCATTCACTCGAAAACCACCCATCTTTCCCCTGAGGGAGCTCGGAAGGGTGCGTCCTCAGTCTTGGTTCAGAAACTCGGGCAATTCTGGGGTGCCATCTCCTAGAGGCTGAAGAGCAGAGGCAGCCCATGGGAAAGATGACTGCTGGAGGGGCATGTGTGTGTGTGTGTGTGTGTGTGTGTGTGTACACAGGGTGCCTGCCTCCTGCTGGCCCAAAGGGATGTGGGTTCCAAGGGGTCTGGGCTGAGAGAAAGGGCTGGACACTCCTCATGGCCATTTCCTTTGACTCACTGTGTGGCTGCTTCAGAATGAGGTGCTGAACCGGCAAATCCAAAAGGAGATCTGGAGGATCCAGGACGTGATGGAGGGGCTGAGGAAGAACAACCCCTCCCGGGGCACGGACACCGCCAAGCACAGAGGTGGGTGCCTCCTGTGCCAGCCTCCTAGGCTGCCTGCCTCACCAGGAGTGCTCCAGTATTTCTGACCTCCATCCCACTCCTGCCAGCTCACACTGTGTTCAGAGCCAGGCAGGGCCTTCTTGGGACACCAGAATCTTCCCCTGGGTTCTAGGGTGGTAGGTAGGGGTCCCTTACCCCCCACAGAATAGACCAAATAAACAACTCAGAGACACTGTTGACCCTGACACTCTAAAGTCCTCCCCAGAAAAGGTCAAAAGCACCTAAGCCTCCCCAGCCCCCAAGCACATGGGCCCACTTGTGACATGTGACCCCTACCTTAGAGTTTTCCTTGAGCCCTGGGACCTCAGACTGGCTTTCCTTGACACCTCAGGGACAACAGTATCAGTTCCATCTACCGTCTTCCCCACCCAGCACACCTCTC